>NC_000006.12:65640685-65943715 GCF_000001405.40 Homo sapiens
TGACAAGTCACCTTTCAACTTAATATTTTCTCTTGGGCCATTTTTTAAGATTTTTTTATGGTGTATTTGATGAGGTACAGTTTCATTATAATGTTTCTAGTTGTGGATTTATTTTTATTTCTTTTTTCCTGAAATTACTTAGGATCCTTGACTCTATGGATTTCTGTCATTGACCATTTCTGAAAAATTATCAGCCACAATTTTTTTTTTACCCTTGGCCAGTAAAATTTATTATCTGTGCCCTATTTCTTTTTTTCTCCTCTTAGGACTTCTGTTGAAATAATGTTACATTTTCTCACTCTGTCCTGTATATACTTTATTCTCTTCCTGTATTTTCCTTTTATTTCTTTGTCTCCCATGCTTGTGGTGTTTTTTACAGTGTAAACTTAGCTTAGCTAGAAATATGTTTTCCATATGTGCTTCCCTATATGCTTCCAGGTTATAGTGGGCCAAAATAGAAGTTGGTACATGATTTGGAAAGTGGAGAGGAAGCAACAGCCATAACCTCTGTTGGTTGTTTTGGTGTTAGGCTGTAAGAACCAGAAGCATCAACGCTCAGAGAAGCAAATTCAAAATTAACCATACTCTTCCCAACTCTGCATTTGTAATATTCACCTGCTAGCCCTATTGACCAAGAGTGACCTCAGGCCTACTCCATCTCAGATGCAAAGGCAATACCCTGACACAGATGTCTCCACTAGTTCTCCTTAATGGTCCCATTCTGCAAGTCAGCCATGCCTGGTTTCTGAGATCTCTGGCAAGTTCTAATTTGTCCACCCATACTGGTTCTTCAGAGAGGAGGAGAGCAAATTTTTCTGATCCTCTAACTCACCCATTCTGACCCTTACTTACCCAGTGTCTTGTGTAGTTGTCTAAAGTTTTAGTGCTATAATAAATGTCCTATTCTGTATTACTTACAGTGGTAGTGCTCACATGGTTGAACTTTGTCTGTACTGCGTACTGTTTTACTGCACTCTTTTTAAGAACACTAACTTCACATCCTTGTATATAATTAGCTATGAGGTCTATGCAATGAATTTTTAATTTATTAAATTTTGGAGATCTTTATGTTCTTTATATCCTTTTTTACATCTGTAGCATCACATTTTATTTCCCTGTTTCTGTTGATGTCCTTAACTTTTGTCTTTGACTTCTTTAAGTTAAAAAGCTTAAGAGTTTCTTCTGCCTTGACCTCCTGGGCTCTAGTGGTCTTTCTGGCCTGGAATTAGTCATCTCACAGAGTAATCCACGAAAAGATTTAGAAACAACTGAGCTCGAACCAAAGCTTGGACCAGTTCCTAAGTAATAAATAAGTTCTCCTTGTTTAACATCACACTAGATTGTAAAGTCCTTATAAAAAATAGATTTGCTTATTTTATCCATAACTGAATATATAGGGCCTCGAGGAGTTCTGAGTATCTGAGAGGTACTCAATACATATTTGTTGAATAAAAGCATGGCCAAAAAAGGATAAATTATTTTGTGCTCTCCCTGATGATTTCAATAGGATGTACTTCTGGGTCTATTTATTTTGTTGTTTGTGTTTCGGTGGGTACATGCTTTTGGTGTGTTTTTACTTTATGTACCTGGCTACCTTTGATCGAGCTAAGCATTACACATAATTAACTGTATAATTAAGCATAATTAAGCACTGCATAATTATTTGTAGGAATAATTAGAGGACTGAGATGAAGGAAAGCCTTCATCCAGAGAGGATTTCTGTTTGTTTCAGTCAACGGGGGCATTACTTGTCCTCAGTCACATTCAACAATTTGAATACGTTAGATTACTGAAGCCTCCAGACTTTTAAAATTGGGCTACAATTCTTCAAGAAAGCCAATCATTTTATTTTTTTTTATTCACCTTTGTCCCAAAGGTGTATTTATTAGGTAGCAACTTATTGTGGGACACTTACCTGTTAGACTCTTCATTTTGTTCTATATTTTTTAACTATAGATAGGTCAATACAAATATTCACATTTATGTAACTAACAAATACTTCTATTAGTTCTAGTTTTCCCTGTGATTTCAGTCTAATAAGTATTTCTTTTCTTACAAGACCTGCAGTGATTTTAAGAAGATATTTTAAAATATATCTTACGCAGATTTTTAGAAGTTTTTAATAGAATTGTTTGTACAAACAATCCTCCCATTATGGGAAACACCTAGCCTCCAGAAAATAACTTTAAGAATAATTTAGAGAGCTTTGATTAAAAATGTAGATAGGAGGCAGGACTAGCTTGCAGTTCCTGCTTGGACAGACAGAGCAGTGTGTGAAGACTTACATCATAAAATTTTGCTCCAAGAACTACCACAGGAAAATACCAGGAAAGCTGAGAGAATTATCTGACCCTTTGAAGGAACTGGATTGCTACTGCAGGCTCCCTGAGATGCCAAAACATTGTGAGTGTACTTGCTTTCTCAGCAGGGATGCTGGTGGTCTGAGGCAAGTTCTCAGCCCTGGTCACCAGCTGCCTAAAAATAGACTCAGTGTTGTTGGGGGGACACAGTGGGAGTAAGACTGGCCTTTAGGACTGTGGGCTGTGTGGGAGCAGGGTGAGTCCTGCGACTGCTGACTTTCCCCCACTTCTTTGGTGACCTGTACGACTCAGCAGAGGCAACCTAATACACCTGGGAATATAACTCCATTGGCCTGGGAACCACATTCCCATTCCACACAGCAGCTGCAGCAAGCCCCACCCAAGGAGAGCCTGAACTAAGACATGCCTATCCCTGCTACCACCCGGTGGTCTTTCTCTAACCAGTGTAGTTGCCAAAGAAAAAGGACATAATCTCTTGGGAGCTCTATGGCCTTGTCCACTGGCTGAGAAACCTGAATACTTAACCAGACATTCCTAGGGCAAGTTTGCATCCTCCCTATAGTACCACAGCTGATGCACTCTTGAAAGTGCCACCTCCTGCCTGGAGGGCAACCAACACAAAACCAGTGCACTGAACAAAAACACAACCAAAGACCCTCACAGAGTCCACCTCACTCCCCTACTATCTCCACCAGAGCAGGTTACTGGTATCCACAGCTGAAAGACCTGAAGATGAATCACATCAGAGGACTCTCCAGTACCAGCCCAGAGCTCAGTACCTCTGCTTGGTGGCTAGATCCAAAAAAGCGAAAACAATCACTGAAGTTCACCTCTCAAGAAGCCCTATCCCTAGGGGGAGGGGGTACAAGAATACCACATCAAGGGAGCACGCGGTGGGACAAAAAAATCTGAACAGCAGCTCTTGAGTCCCAGATCTTCCCTCTGACATAGTCTACCCAATGAGAAGAAAACATAAAAACAATTCTGGTAACATGACAAAACAAGGTTTTTTAACACCCTTAAAAGATCATACCAGCTCACTAGCAATGGATCCAAACCAAGATGAAATCTCTGAATTGCCAGAAAAAAATTCAGAAGGTTGATTATTAAGCTCATCA
Source organism: Homo sapiens (assembly GCF_000001405.40). Lineage (NCBI taxonomy): Eukaryota > Metazoa > Chordata > Mammalia > Primates > Hominidae > Homo > Homo sapiens. Next base: position 65,644,125 of record NC_000006.12, read on the forward strand.
ATGAGGCATCAGAGTAAAGTGAAATCCAACTTGAAATCAAAAACATGATACAGGTTATTAAAGAAAAAACCTTCAGTGAAATAGATAGCATAAATAAAAACAATCACAACTTATAGAAAGAAGGATACACTTAGAGAAATCCAAAGTGTACTGGAAAGTCTCAGCAATAGAATAGAACAAGCAAAAGAAAGAACTTCAGAGCTTGAAGACAAGGCTTTCAAATTAACCCAATCCATCAAAGACAAAAAAGTAATAAATAAATGAACAAAGCCTACAAAAAGTTTGGGACTATGTTAAGCATTCAAACCTAAGAATAATTGGTGTTTCCGTGGAAGAAGAGAAATCAAAAAGTTTGGAAAACATACCTGAGAGAACAATCAAAGACAACATCCCCAGCCTTGCTAGAGATCTAGACATCCAAATACAAAACACTCAAAGAACACCTGGGAAATTCATCGCAAAAAGATCATTGCCTAGGCACATAGTCATTAGGTTATCTGAAGTCAAGACAAAGGAAAGAATCTTAACAGCAGTGAGGCAAAAGCATCACGTAACCTATAAAGAAAAACCTATCAGATTAACAGCAGATTTCTCAGCAGAAATCCTGCAAGCCAGAAGAGATTGGGGGTCCTATTTTTAGCCTCCTTAAACAAAACAATTATCAGCCGAGAATTTTGTATCCACTGAAATAAGCTTTATAAATGAAGGAAAGATACAGTCTTTTCCAGTCAAACAAAAGCTGTGAGAATTCGCCACTACCAAGCCAGCACTACAAGAACCGCTAAAAGGAGTGATAAGACTTCAAAATAAACCAAAATAGAACCTCCTTAAAGCATAAATCTCACAGGACTTATATAACAATAACACAATGAAACAAACAAGGTATTCAGGCAACAAATAGCATGATGAATAGGATAATAATACCTCACATCTCAGTACTAATGTTGAAAATGAACTAATATAGGGACTTTAGCACTCCACTGACAGCACTAGACAGGTCATTAAGATACAAAGTCAACAAAGAAACAATGGACTTAGACTATACCCTACAGCAAATGGATTTAATAGATATTTACAGAACATTCTACCCAACAACTGCAGGATATACATTCTGTTCATCAGCATATGGAACATTCTACAAGATAAACCATATGATAGGCCACAAATAAGTCTCAGTAAATTTAAGAAAATCAAAATTATATAAAGTACTCTCTCAGACCACAGTGGAATAAAACTAGAAATCAACTCCAAAAGGAACCTTCAAAACCATGCAAATACATGGAAATTAAATAAACTGTTCCTGATTGATCAGCAGTCAACAATAAAGTGAAGATGGATATTAAAAACGTTTTGAACTGAATAATAGTGACACAACCTATCTAACCCTCTGGGATACGGCAAAAGTGGTGCTAAGAGGAATGTTCATAGGATTCAATGCCTATATCAAAAAGTCTAAAAGGGCACAAATAGACAATCTAAGGTCACACCTCATGGAACCAGAGAAACAAGAACCATACAAACTCAAACAGAGCAGAAGAAAATAAATAATGAATATAAGATCAGAACTAAATGAAACTGAAACAAAAAAACTACAAAAGATAATGAAACAAAAAGCTAGTTATTTGAAAAGAGAAATAAAATTGATAGGCTGTTAGTGAGATTAACCAAGAAAAGAAGAGAGAAGTTTGAAGTATGCTCAATTAGAGATGAAATGGGAGATATTACTATTGATACCACAGAAATACAAAAGATTATTCAAGTCTACTACGAACACCTTTATGCACATAAACTAGAAAACCTAGAGGAGATGGTTAAATTCCTGGAAAGAAACAACTCTCCTAGAATATACCAGGAAGATAAAGAAACTCTGAACAAACCAATAACAAGCAGCGAGATTGAAATGGTAATAAAAAAAATTCCCAGCTAAAAAAAGTGCGGAATCAGATGGATTCACAGCTGAATTCCTTCAGACATTCAAAGAAGAATTCAAACGAATTCTACTGATACTATTCCACAAAGTAAAGAAAGACGGAATCCTCCCTAAATCATTCTATAAAGCCAGTATCACCCTAATACCAAAACCAGAGAAGGACATCACAACTACAACAAGAACAAAAAAACTGCAGACCAATATCCCTGTTGAGCACAAGGACAAAATACTAGCTAATGAAATGCAACATCATATTAAAAAGATAATCCACTATGATCAAGTGGGTTTATACCAGGGATGCAGGGATGGTTTAATATCTGCAAGTCAATAAATGTGATACCCAACATAAACAGAATTAAAAACGAAAGTCACATGATTATATCAATAGATGCAGACAAAGCATTTGATAAAATACAGCATCCTTTATGAATAAAACCTTCAACAAAAGTGGAATAGAAGGGACATACCTTAAGGTAATAAAAACCATCTATGACATACCCACAGCCAACATTATACTGCATGGGAAGAAGCTGAATGCATTCCTTCTGAGAACCAGAACACGACTAGCATGCCCACTTTCACCACTTCTATTCAACACAGTACTTGAAGTTCTAGCTAGAGCAATCAGACCAGAAAGAGATAAAAGACATCCAATTTGGTAAAGAGGAAGTCAAACTGTCACTGTCTGCTGATATGATCGTATACCTAGAAAACCCTAAAGACTTATCTAAAAAGCTCCTAGAACTGATGAATGACTCAGCAAAGTTTCAGGATACAAAATTAATGTACACAAATCAGTAGCTTTGCTATACACCAGCAGCGACCAAGCTAAGAATCAAATTAAGAACCACTTTTACAATAACAGCATAAAAAATAAAATACTTCAAAAAATACCTAACCAAGAAGATGAAAGACCTCTGCAAGGAAAACTACAAAACACTACTGAAAGAAATCACAGACGATACAAACAAATGGAAACACATTCCATGCTCATCTCATGGGTAGAATCGAAATCATGAAAATGACCATACTGCCAAAAGCAACCTACAAATTAAATGCAATGCTCATTAAAATACCACCATCATTCTTCACAGAACTAGAAAAAACAATCTGAAAAATTTATACGGAACTAAAACAGAGGCCATATAGCTAAAGCCAGACTAAGCAAAAAGAATAAATCTGCAGGTATCACATTACCTGACTTCACACTATACTATAAAGCCATAGTCACCAAAACAGCATGGTACAGGTATAAAAATAGGCACATAGACCAATGGAACAGAATATATAACCCTGAAATAAAGCCAAATATTTACAGCCAACTGATCTTTGACAAAGCAAACAAAAACATAAAGTGGGGAAAGGACAAACTATTCTACAAATGATGCTGGGATAATTGGCAAGCCACATGTAGAAGAATGAAGCTGGATCCTCATCTCTCACCTTATATAAAAATCAACTCAAGATGCATCAAAGTCTTAAATGTAAGACCTGAAACCATAAAGATTCTAGAATATAACATCAGAAAAACCATTGCAGACATTGGCTTTGCCAAAGAGTTCATGACTAAGAACTCAAAAGCAAATGCCACAAAAACAAAGATATTGTAAATAGATGGGAGTTAATTAACCAAAAAGCTTTTGCTCAACAAGATAAATAATTAGCAGAGTTAACAGACAACCCAGTAATTGGGGGTAAATTTTCACAATTTATATATCCAACAAAGGACTAATATGCAGAATCTACAAAGAACTCAAACAAATCAGTGAGAAACAAACAAAAAAACAAACAAAATCTTAGCAAAATGTGGGCTAAGGACATGAAAAGACAATCCTCAAAAAAAGATATACAAATGGCCAGCAAACATATAGAACAATGCGTAACATCACTAATTATCAGGAAAATACAAATCAAAACCACGATGTGCTACCATCTTACTGCTGCAAGAATGGCCAAAATAAAATAAAAAATAATAGATCTTGGCGTGGATGTGGTGAAAAGGAAACACTTTTACACTGTTGGTGGGAATGTAAACTAATACGACCACTATGGAAAACAATGTGGAGATTCCTTAAAGAATTAAAAGTAGATCTACCATTTGATCACGCAATTCCATTACTAGGTATCTACCCAGAGGAAAATAAGTCATTATAACAAAAAGATACTTGCACGCACATGTTTATAGCAGCAGAATCTGCAATTGCAAAAAATGGAATGAACCCAAATGTCCATCAATCAATGAGTGGATAAAGAAAATATATGTGTGTGTGTGTGTGTGTGTGTGTGTGTGTGTGTGTATACCATAGAATACTACACAGCCATAAAAAGGAATGAAATAATGGTATTTGCAGCAACCTGGATGGTATTGGAGACTATTATTCTAAGTGAAGTAACTCAGGAATGGAAAGCCAAACATCGTATGTTCTCATTCATATGTGGGAACAGAGCTATGAGGACACAAAGGCATAAGAATGATACAATAGACTTTGGGGACTTGGGAGAAATGGTGGGAGGGTCGTGAGGAGTAAAAGAGTACACATTGGGTACATTGTACACTGCTTGGGTGATGGGTGCACCAAAATCTCAGAAATCACCATTAGAGTACTTATTCATATAACCAAACACCACCTGTTCCCCAAACACCTATTGAAATAAAAAAAAAATCAATTTATAAAACAAACAGAGAAAAGGGAAGAAAAAAGAAAACAACCTTCATTCACATTTAACTGAAATTGGTGGCTGAACAACGCACTATTCCACCTAGGCTTTTACACATGTAAGAAAGGGAACAAAAGATTTTTAAAAAGTGTCCAGGCCTGGTGGCTCATGCCTGTAATCCCAGCACTTTGGGAGGCTGAGGAGAAGGTAGATCACGGGGTCAGGAGATAGAGACCATCCTGGCTAACATGCTGATACCCCATCTCTACTAAAAATACAAAAAATTAGCTGGGCATGGTGGCACACACCTGTAGTCTCAGCTACTCGGGAGGCTGAGGCAGGAGAATCACTTGAACCTGGGAGGCCAGTGAGCTGAGATCGCGCCACTGCACTCCAGCCTGTGCGACAGAGCGAGACTCTGTCTCAAAAAAAAAAAAAAAAAAAAAGGAAAAAAGAAAAACTTAAACAATAAAAATTGACATTACTTGCAAGACCCAACTATTTTCTATGATTTCCTTTATTCTAGCAAGAGTTTTGTATGTGTTTTGTTTTGTTTGTTTTGTTTTCAAGATTGGACGCCTTTTCAAAGACCTTAACCTATGTGTTTGTGCATAATGTGTATAGCATAGGTTCTTTTCTGAAAGTGTGTCCAATCTTAAAACACACACACACACACATACACACATCCATGTGCATTTGTAATAACTGAAACTAAAAGAAGCTGATTACTAAGAATATAATGAACCTTATTGTTTACTCTTCATCAAACATATAATCATCAAATATCCATTTAAATTATAAATAAAAATAAGTGATTTCATAAGATAAGTTTGATGCCAGAAACGAGGATTGAACTGGTTTGATCCATGAAATGCTGATACATGCAAAATAGAACTCCATTTGTAATTTCTTTAAAGTAATACTCCATTCTTTTTTATTAGACCATTGATGAGTTCGCTCCTTTCTCTAGATCAGAACTATTTAGATTGTTTTTTTACAAATTCAGTATGAAGGAATTTGTTTTTTAATAGGTGTGAATAGCATCGATGTAATGATGTGTCATTGAGCCCCACATTTCTGTCACTAGAGTGGTAAAATGACACAGAGGATGAACCAAAAGTCACCTGTAGATGACAATGGGTGAAAGAAAACACATTTAATTTACATAGAAACATACAGAATGTCAAAAGAGTTAAAATTCATGAATAAAATTTCATTAAAAATGCATTCTAAAATATTAGTTAAATATACACTACTTAAGAATGATTTAAAACTAGCATTAAATGTATTAAAATGGATATATTTTGCAGGAAAAGGATGCCTGTGTTTTCAGTGTTTTATCTGAATTATTTAATGGTTTACAAAACTTTCTGTGAATGAAGGGAAAGCAGTTTTTTATCTGAGTATTCTCAGTGTTATCTGAGCATTCTCATTGCCTACATAACTTATTCTGAATGAAGGCAGGCAAAATAGAGAGAAAAGACTGAGTATCTATACCATATAATACTTTAAATAGAAAACATTAGCCCTTTGTTACATATCTATAGGCTGAATAAGAACTCAAACACAGCTCTTCCAACTCAACACACAATGCTCTCTTTGAGGTCTGAAGGTTATAAGGCTATACTCATAACAGATTCTCAGTCTCACAATTAAACTAAAATCTAGGCTTGAAGAGATTAACACTATTTAGCATGCCAGGCTGGGTTGTAACACAGTAGCCATATATTTATTTTATTTCATTTTGATTTTAGACCTGCAGTGTATTGCCAGACCCCAGGTGAGTTTGAAATATTGCAATGGTTATTTCAGAATACTTTGTGTGGCTTTACTGTCATTTATGTTAAAGGTAAACAGGATTCTCTGCTCGATCATTGACATCAAAGGCAAAAACGAATGATAAATTATTTTCCCTCTATTCTTGCATTTTGAGACAATTTTTGTTGAAGTTCAAATTTACAAGCGTTTCGGGAGGATGTTTTCTTCTGGGGAAACAACATTCACAGCAGTCCAGACTGAGGGTACACAGAGAGCAAAAACAGCTCTAGCTGCTGAGTGTCCTGCTTATACTCTCACATTTGCCCATCTACTAATCTCTATTACTGTTTTATCTTATTTTTACAGATCCTACATATCTAGGAGGTTCCTTTTAAAATGCAAATAAAATATCTAAATGGGAGTGTCACTGACTTCATTATCATTCATCAACACCATAACAGGGATTATTTTATCACATTAGTTTGCTTCAGAGAGTTGAGCTGCAAGAAAATGGGACTGAATTCACTTATGTTTTGAAAATGAAAGTGCTGGATAACAAGGTAGCAGTTTTCAACAAATTTAAATATAAAAACCTTTATTAATATAATAAAATGTCTAATGTCTATTAAATTATATAGTGGCAAAAGTCTTAGAGAATTCAGGGACATGTTAATATTATCAATTATAAATTGTACTAGAGAAAGCTACTCCAAATGGGTGGAAATCAAAGAAGCTGATCATTTTCCAAGGAATGACCTTGCATGCTTTTACCTAAAGGAACTGTTTAAATTTTTAGATCAGAAAAATAAGTGAAAAAAAACAGAAGAATGGTCTAAAATATATATACTTATTTAATGTTACTGTCAGAAAATATAGGCTTGTAAGAGAGCTTGGATTTCAATTTTAGAAAGAAACTTCGGTTTCTTTGGAGACAATGTTTATATTAATTCAATAGTGTTTCTGTACATATATATCTGATATTGACTGCCATTGTCTCTTCTATAACTTTCTTTGAGTCCTAGGTTTATATTTAATCTTATGATATCTTCATGTATATCTCCTATAAATATTTCAAACTTAAATTTTTAAAAGCATAAGACATCATTTCCCCTCTCCAGTTGCAAAACTCTTCCTTCTTTGTAAATGAATGAATAATACAGCAACCACTAGAGGATGCAGGCTAGAATCTTGGAAGTCTTACTTTATTTCTTCTCTTATCTCATTATGTCCTTACTTTCATGTTTACTTTTGAAACTATCCAGTTCTCTCTTTTTCTGTAAAAAATCCAGAGTCTCCTATCATCCAGTCAAAATTTCTGCTGTAGTTGTGTAACCAGTCTCTTTAATCCAAGGTATATTTTCAGTGCTATATTAGCAGTCATACTGAAAAAATAAACTAACCATTGTTATTTGGGATAATTTATTATGCAGTAATAAATAACTAATACGCTAAATTGAGAACTCCTGGAAAGAGAGAAAAACATATAAAAGATTCTTTTTTTTTACACTAAATCCCTAGGCTCCATCTCACTTTGATGGTATTAGACACAATAGAAGCTCCATTTTTTTCTGATGTATGTAGAATTAAAATAAATAAAAGCAAAACATCAATAATTAAAACAACTATAAAAATGTGTAGCTCAAACTAGAGGGAAGCTGGAATGGCTTGAGGAAGGAAAATGATAAATGAAATCAAAGAATTGATTCATGTGAAATAAAAGAAAAATGCTTTTTGCAAACAATACTGCTGACTAAAGGGTATACATCTTATGAAATGAAATAATTTATTTTTTTGCTCACTGAACACTATGATGGAGTTATAGATGCAGAAGTAATTTTGTAGTTGACTTTGAAAATTGTTTTGAAAAGTAGAAGAAACGAGTTAGATGTTTATTGAGGCAATTGGAGGAAAAATTGTGCTGAAGTTAAGGAGGATAGGGAGGAGGAGACAGGAAGAGAAAGAAAATATCCCAGAGAAGTGTAATGGTGGTGGCATTGGATGGCTTGTTGGTGTCACTTTTTTCATATTTTGAAATTTTTTAATGTATGTTCAAATCACAGAAAGGACTGATTCCACTTCTGTGTAGTTAGTGTAAATATAGAGAGCACCTACTCAGTGAAAAGAAAATTAATAAGCTTGAATAATTTAGAAGAAGATGGAACTCTTAGCTAGAGGTCACTAAAAAAAGAGAACATCAGGAATGTAAAGACATACTAGGGAGAATATTGAACTTTCCCCTAAAATACAGTAAAATTTTGAGCTGATATTGTCTAGATCTTTAAGGCAGGAAGGGTGCAGATGAAATATCAGTTATCTAATATCAACATGAGCTTAGTTTAATGAATCATGAGATTGTACTTATGTTAAATAACTACATTTTGAATCAGTGATAACTATCCAGGATATAAGAAATCATTTATTTTCCATAACAGGACTGTAATGCAGAGGTTTGGCTACACAGATGATGGAGAAGCCAAATATCTCCCAGTAGGAAGTCACTACCAATACTAATTAGGAGGGATAAACGAAGAGGAGGTTCAACCTAAGCCAGAAGATAGTGTTAACAGGCAGAAGCTACAATCATGTGGACATGTCCTGAAAAAGTGGGAGCCACAAAGGATACACAGATTCTGGATACTACCTAATTCAGAGAGAAAGGGCGAGGGAGAGAGAAATACCCTGTGTTTTCTATTTCTTCACTTAATTTTTATCTGTGCCTACCTTTGTCCAAAACCACCCAGAAGCAGATGACAGGGTTGCCCAGAAAATACAAGATTATCAGTCCTGTTACACAGAGCACAGCAAGAAAAGAACAAATCATTGGTCAAACACACCCAGGATGGGCATAGTTTATATGTAAGGGGGACCAAATTATCAAATAACTTGATAAAAAGAGTGAATCTAGAGATATAAAGTAACAATGAAGATAAAATTGCCACCAAACAAGTTTGCCTAGCACAAGCTTTGATATACACTGATTTCAGAGCCCCATTAGGATACTGGTGCCACTGAGACAATTAAATTTCAGAACCCATTTAATTTTATACAGGAACCCACTTCAGCTCAGATATCATATCATTGCCGTATTCACAACATTTAAATTGATTTGCGGGCAATCCAACTTTTAATTCTGACTCATGTAAGTCTTCTAGATTTACAGCAACACCATGTTGAACTGCACTGGTTTGTCATCTCTCCCATTCCAGGATCTGTTTATATTCAGCACTGTATCTCAAGGACAGGCAAATAGAGTCAGATTTTTGACATAGCCGAAGAGTGGTGACTTTAGAGAACCCTATTTCCTCTTATAAGAGCTTTTTAGGAAATAACCAGTTACTAGCAGGTTTAATGCATTGGCAAAGTCCAAGTGTCCTCTACATCTCACATCCTTTGTGTCATCTATAAGGACATAGGAAGGCAACTTCCAGAAGCAAAAATATGTCTGTATCTTCTGCCCTCACTTTTTAGGTCAACACAGCCACCACAACCCGAGCTGCCATTTTCATTTCCTGCCATGGATATCTGACAGTCCTTCATACTGAAGAAAAGTAAGTTTCATTGATATAAAAAGTTATAGGATTATTAGAAGTATTTATACTTATTTTTGTTTTTAGCATGCCCACTAAATACTTCAGAGTTAGTCATAAATTGACAAGACAACCCCTCGGCTTTACTCATTTCATTATTTATTAGTTCTCAAAACAATTTTCTCAAAGTGTGAAAGTTTCTTTTAAAAAAGGTAGCATGAAACTATTTCAGCCAGAAATAGCCTATGAATTCATAGTATATGTGTCACTTTCCTTTGCCTTTCTGTAATAGTTACTCACAGACCTGAGCTTCTGTAATTGGCTTATTTTATTACTTGGAATAAATAAGATTGTATACAAGAAATCCTGTAGGAGAGGAAAACACAACTCTTGGGCGTGGATATTATTCTTTGACAACCCAAAGATTTTTCCAAATGGTTAATAAATGGACCATTATCTTATTTACTCTTGAGGAAACTTCTTTTCCAGCATCTGAGGTAATGACTTCCCAGTTTTTGACCTGCCACTGTAAGGTTTAAATTTGGTTTTCCTCAAAACTGATAGATATCAGAAATTACATCTAAAGTGTTAAAGATTCTGAGCTACATAGTACTGGGTGTCAAAAGGTTACAGAGACATCCCTATACCAGCTGAGAGTCCATTAAAAAGGTCACTCACTTCTGTTCTCACAAGTATTGTTCACTGAATTGAGTCAAGAAACGCTCAATAAAAGGGAAAAAGAACTAAAATTGTTCCTGAGAATTACCTGACAAAAGTGAGATCACCGAAAGAAATGATTTAGGACCATACCACGGAGAGACACAAAGTGGTACCAGAGACCAGCTCATTAAGTTTACCATATACAACTATGGTAATTTGTTTTTAAAAGATATTCTAAAACAGGTAAGTCAAAGTTTCACATATGGAAATATGTCCAAATTAAAATGTGCTTGTCTTCCTGAAGAGTCTGGGTCATTCATTAAAAAAAAAAAAAAAAAAAAAAATGTTTGTCCAAGATTTTAGAGCAGGAATAAAATATCTTCATGAGAATTACTTTTCTATTCATAACAGGAATTTGTAGTAACTCAATGCATTTTTATAATTAAAATGTATTATTAATTTTGTGTAATACAAATGAAATTGGATTTAGAGATAAGTTTCTGGATGACATTGAAAACTCAGTATTAGAAAAATTCCAAATAATTTATAGAGAATTCTCAATAATTTATTTAAATACTCTGCCATCAAGTAGATACAGCATAACTGCTCACCACTTAAGTGTGAGATGCATATAGTGACTTCCTTCTAAAGAATATAGTATGAAAATGAGGGGAAAAATAACATCTGTACAATCAAGATACCTGGAAAATACTGCTTTAGTGAGTTAATCAAGGTTAACATCATTAATAAGTTGTTGTTTATAGTATATATAGTATATATACCAATTATAAATATATGTTGATAGTGTATCCCCTTGAAATGGTACAATGAAAATGGCACTTTACCTCTTTATTTTCCTTGAAATAGATAAACCATATCTAGCCATGAGAAAAACCCAGACTTAAGGATTTTTCATAAAATATCTCATCATGTTCCTCAACACTTTTAAAATAGGCCTACTTTGTTTTATTGTGCTTTGCTGATGCTGTGTGTTTTTTTATTTGTTTGTTTGTTTTTTAACAAATTGAAGGGTTGTGTTAACTGTGTCCAGCAAGATGTGACTGAATTGCTGCAATCTTATGATCAAATTTGGAGAGATGAGAGTTGCTTTTTATGGATGAGCAAATAACATGGTTTCTTGAGATGTAATCTATTCCTGGCGAAGATGCTGTGAACAATGTTGAAATAACAGGGATTTAGCATATTACATAAAGTTAGTTGAGAAAGCAGTGGCAGGGTTTGAGAGGATTGACTCTAATTTTGAAAGAAGTACATTGGTGTCATTTTTCCAACACCATGTGCTCACTTCGTGTCTCTGCGTCACATTTTCGTAATTCTCACCATATTTCAGACGTTTTCATTATTATATCTGTTAAGGTGATTAGTGACCTTTGGTGTTACCATTGTAATTGTTTTGGGGCACCACAAACCATGCCCATATAAGATCACAAACCTAATCAACAAATGTATGTATTCTGACTGCTCCACCCACTGGCGATTCCCTCTTTCCTCCCCGTCTCCTCAGTCTCTCTATTCTTTGAGAAACAACAATATTGAAATTATGCCAATTAGAAACTCTACAATAGCCTTTAAATCTTCAAGTGAAAGGAAGAGTAGCACATCTCTCATTTAAAATCAAAAGCTAGAAATGATTATGCTTAGTGAGGAAGGCAGGCTGAAAGCTGAGATAGGTTGAAAGCCAGGCCTCTTGCACCAAACAGTTAACCAAGTTATGAATGCAAAGCGGAAGTTCGTGAGGGAAAGTGCTATTTCAGTGAACGTATGAATGATAAAAACAGGCTTATGGCTGTGTGATCTGGATAAAAGATAAAACCAGCTAAAACATTTGCCCAAGCCAAAGTTTAATCTGTAGCAAGGTTCTAACTCTCTTCAATTACGTGAAGACAGAGAGATGAGGAAGTTACAGAAGAAAAGTTTGAAAGTAACTGGGAAGTCATTACCTCAGATGCTGGAAAAGAAGTTTGAAACTAGCAGATGTTTGTTCATGAGGTTTACAGAAAGGAGTCATTCCTATAATATAAAACTGCAAAGTAGAGCAGCAAGTGCTAATGTAGAAGCTGCAGCAAGTTATTCAGAAGATCTAGCTAAGATAATTGATGAAGATGATTAAGATGAACAATGGATTTTCAATGGAAACAAAACAGTTTAATATGAGAAGAATATCCAAATAGGAATTTCATAGCTAGAGAACAGAAGTCAATGCCTGGTTTCACAGCTTCAAAGGACAGGCTGACTTTCTTGTTAGAGGCTAATGTAGCTGGTGATTTTAAAGTTGAAACTGAATCTCATTTACTATTTTGAACATTTTAGGCCCCTTAAGAATTATGTTCAATCTACTCTGCCTGTCCTCTAGAAATGGAGGAACAAAGCCTCAATGATAGCACATCTGTTTACAGCATGATTTACTGACTATGTTAAGCCCACTCTTGAGACATACTGCTCAGGAAAAGATTTGTTTCAAAATATTACTATTTATAGATAATGCACCTGGTCACTCAAGGGTTCTAACAGAGGTATACAATGGAGAAGCATGTTGCTTTCATGCCTGCTAACAAAATATCCTTCTGTAGCCCATGGATTGAGGAGTGATTTTTACTTTCAAATTTTATTGTTTAAGAAATAAATTTCATAAGGCTACAGATGCCGTAGATCGTGATTTCTCTGAGGGATCTTCCGGAAAAGATTCACCATTCTAAATTCCATTAAGAACATTAGTGTTTCATGGTAGGAAGTCAACATATCAACAATACTAGAAGTTTGGAAAAAGTTGATTCCAAATCTCATAGATGACATTGAGGACCCAAGATTTGAATGGAGGGAGTAACTGCAGATGTGGTAGAAATAGCAAGAGAACTAGAAGTGGGAGAGGAGCTGAAAGATGTGACTGAATTGCTGTAATCTCATGATCAAACTTGAAGAGATGAGAATTGCTTTTTATGGATGAGCAAATAACGTGGTTTCTTGAGATGTAATCTATTCCTGGTGAAGATGCTGTGAACAGCGTTGAAATAACAGGGATTTAGCATATTACATAAAGTTAGTTGAGAAAGCAGTGGCAGGGTTTGAGAGGATTGACTCTAATTTTGAAAGAAGTTCTACTGTGGGTAAAATGTTATCAAATAGCATTGCGTGCTACAGAAAAATCTTTCATGAAAGGAAGTTAATTGATGTATCAAACTTTATTGTTGTCTTATTTTAAGAAATTGTCAAAGATATCCCAACCTTCCTTCATCAGTCAGCAAAAGCCAATATTGAGGCAAGATCCTCCACCAGCACAAACATCATAACTTGCTGGAGAGTCAGATGATCACTGGAATTTTTTAGCAAGAAAGTATTTTTAATTTAAGATATGCACATTGTTTTTTAGGCATAATGTTATTGCACACTTAATAGATTACAGTATAGTGTAAGCATAAGCTTTATATGTGCTGGTAACCAAATAGCTTGTGGGATTTACTTTATTGAGGTTGCCTGGAACTGAACTCACAATATCTATGAGGTATGCCTGTATTATCAAAAGCAAGGAAAGTCTGAGAAACTGTCACAGTCTATATGAGCTCAAGGAGATAAGACCACCAAATGTAAAATAATGTCCTATATAGGACCCTATAACAGAAAAATGAAATGACATAAAAACTATAAAAATCTGAAAACTGTATGGACTTTTGTTAATCATAATGTATCAATATCAGTTCATTAGTTGCAACAGATGTATCATGGGGAAACTAGGTGTGAAATTTAAGAGAAGACTAATATTCCTGCAACTCTTCCATAAACTTAAAACTATTATAAAATGAAAAGTTTATTTCTTTAAAAACTTAGATTAGTAAAATATAGTTAAAATATTAATAAACTCCCTGAAAACTATGAATAATGATAACTATGACTAACATGATTGTATTTTGAGTGATCAATCTACTCAGATATTCAGTATATTTCAAATTTAATGTTTGCTTAATGGAAACATACTTAAAAGTAAAACATTGCCCAGAAGTAAATGAGGAAAGTTAAATTTTAAATTATGATACACATGTAACATATATGGAATTGAACTGCAGCCTTTCCTAACTTTATATGGAGCATCTCCACCTCCCTACTTGCCAATTCCAACACTAACCCAACTCTAAGCACACTGGCAAATCATATTGTGTTTACAGATATTGTCTTGGGATGGGGATAAAGGAAAGAATACATTGTATCTCATATAGCAAGCATTATAAAAATGATCTTTAAACCTTTTTTTTCTTTTTTTTAATGAAAGGTCTAGAAGGTTTGTTTAGCTTTATTCTCACACTCTCCAGAATCTTTTTCTTTTTCTCTTTTTGAAGACCACATGGGTGCAGCTTTATTCCACTCTTAGTTTATCTAGATCCTATTGTTTTTGTAGTTAATTTAAATCTCTCTTGATTTATTTAATTTATAGCCTTACATATCAATATCCTGGAAGAACTTGAAAATGTTCCTTTAGATTTTTATTTTTAAGAAGGAAAGATAAAAGTATTGCAGATAACTTTTTTAACTTCCTTTATTATTTGCTCTGCCACAAACAACCTATATAATATTCAGTATTTTTTTCCAGGATTAACAAAAGGAAACTTTGTTTTCAACAATTTTTATGGTGCAGGAGTACTATCTGGCAATACAAGTTTATTTGAAACAGAACTGCATGACACTCACATATTAAGCACTTTATGAAGGAAAACCGTAAGAAAATATCCTAGAAAGTAAAATGTTGGAATATAAAATAAGGAATCCTATGCTAAATCTCTGCCTTTGGTGATTTCAATGATTGAGACCAAACTCAGATTTCCATCAAGATTCGTAAAACTTATCCTGCCATTGTTGAATTCACTACTGGAGTATATATACTGTTCCTGGTCAATTTTTAGAAACACCTGAGCTGATAAAAGTTAAAAGAATCACGAGGAGAACTGGAAATACTGACTTATAGGAGATAATAAATATCCTTAGATTCATATACTATGAAAAAATGTTTTGCTGTCTTCTTAGCTGCTATGCTTTCTATTTCTTTTTTTTGACACACAAACATTAGAATTTTCAAACAAATTTACTAATTTTATGAACTTACTATTTTATTTATTTATTATTCTATGTACAGTATTCCATTACTATACAATGAAGAGTATATTTTCTTTCATTTTTAGGTGGTTAATAAAATAATTCACACAAGGTTATGGCTAATCAAATTATTGTAGTCAAGAAGTCAGAATTGCAGATAACAGCTCTTGGAAGTCCACCCCTAAGTATGGAGGGTGTTCATGAGTTTAAGAGAAATTTTCGTGAACTGACTAGTCACATAAACTGGTTTCTACTATAGTTGGGGACAGGACTGGCTGTATAAATGACAGGGTATAGTGCAAAATGAAGATAAGGGGCTGCTTATTAAAAATTTATTCAGAATTTTAAAATGGTGTCAAAAGATCATGAAACCAACAGCAAGAACCTTTTGAGCATTGAGTCCTGTGCAAATGTAAAAAATCATGAAGCTGGTCCTGCATAGGGGTAGTGAGAATTAGGGAATAAATACTATTTTCCTTTTGGTAACTTAGTGATCCCCTGTTTTAAGTATGAATCCATAATCTTAAACTATTTTCTCTTCTTTGGTATACCATTGCATGTACTATCTCTCCTTTTAAGCTTTTCTGCTTTTCTCTTGTATTTATTTAATTTATAAACCTTCAAATAAATGAAATATGATGAGGGGACAGTTCCTCATGTAGCACTTAGTCATAGGTAAGGAGTGGAAAAGCGCTTCATGGCACTTTATTTTAATGTTTAATTTATATAACTATACGCCTTTTTGAAACCTGTAAGGACAAACAATTGAACATCTAAAGACAGATATCCATATGTACTGTAATTTCCTGAATTCTACATTTTTGGGAAAAAAGATGTTCTTCTATGGTAAGGGAAATATATGTATACTCACACAAACACACTCACACGCAATTATATATTTTTAGTACCCTATTACGTTTGAATATAACATGAAATAACAGACATATGCAATGCTTACGGAAAATTGATATATTAACTTTCTGATACTGTGATCACCTTAATTTCTTGATAATTCATTTTATTTGCATGTGAAGCTTTGTAAACTTATATTTTGAAATTGAAAGAGTCAATTAGAAAGCACCTCAGGACTCATAGTGTCCTTCTTTTATTGCTTTGTAACACACTGCTTTTATGTAATTGCTTTAATACTCTACTATGTAGCACTAGTGTGACAATGATTATTATGATAATGATGATAATAAAAGCGATATTTAATAATATAAATTGTACCTTGAAATAAGCTGTAAGTACAGTCTACAGAGCTTAAATGCTAAATTCTCAAAATAACTCGGTCTATAAGTGGTAGTCTTTTATTTGTTTTTCTGCAGCTCCTAAACACTTTCCAAAATGTATTCAGAAAGTGATTATAATGGAAAGATGGTCTTCCTTACCAAAGGAATGTTTAGATCCTTTCTGAGACCTAGGGACTATATCTCACCTCCAGAGAACCATAGGTTTATATAACCACCATATATGAGACGGTAAAATATTAATTACAACAATAAGCATCTTTTGAGAACTTTTTCCAGGCTATATCAGAAGCAAAAAAGGTTTTGTTTGGTGTTTGTTCTTGCTTTGTTCTATGCCCCTTCCATGTAGTGACCATTATTATACATATCTTGAGGGAACTGAGGCTTAAAAAGATTATATAAATTTAAACAGAGTAAATTTGCACAAGGCTATGCTACAATGTTAAAATACTTTCACAGAACTTTATAACTTACAAAGTATTTTCCTATTTAGCTCAATAATAAACACATAAGGTCACTTAGGCTCCAATAATAATACAATTTTGAATGAATGAGATATTCTTGCCTTATACTTCCATGGAAGAGAAAGGAATTGCATTATACACTATTTCCATGATTTAGTTACAGACATATTGCTATGTGAACAGAAAGGAGGATAAGGCAAATTCTACCTGGAACTTTCGGATGATTTCATGAGTGGTCATTTGTACCACTTCTCCCAAGCAGTTTTAGAATTATATGAGCAAATGTATGAAGATGGTAAAAATCTGTGCCTGCACAAGGAACAATACACAGTCTGGTTTGGTTAGAGAATAGAATACAAAATGGCAGCTATTCTTGGAAAATGCATATTAGGCTGATCTATAAAACTTTGAATTCCTACTTATATGTACAGGATCTTTCTGTGTCAGTTTTGAATGGAGGCATAATGAAAGGATGGAGAGGCAAGAAGGAGGTTACTTAAAAGGCTACAGCTAAGGCAAAGTTAATAATCACCAGAGATTAGACAGTAGGGAAGAAACTGGATGCAAATTCACCACACTCATTTTACTTTTTTTCTGGTCACACCATATTTCTAGACTTCCTTTAAGTAAAGGTTAAGGATAAATTAAGGTTAAGGATAAAAAAAAAGGCAAAAGTAAATAAATTATTTGCAACCTATCATACATATCTAACAACAGAATAAAAAGATAAAAGGTACTGATTCTGAACATTCCCAAAATTTACCACTTAATTTCTGGAAGAGGTTTATCTTCTACTCAAATTTAGTGAAGAGAGAAGGTCACTGTGGCTTAATGAAATGGCTCATCTCCAAGCTAATGTCCAATCTCATATCAGCCAAAGTATGATCACCAGGTTACATTAAGGATGAGCTTGATATATATTTTTTCACTCAAACACCCATCAGCTTTGCAATGCAATATTCTCTCTCAAAGGCAAGGGAGACATCGATGTTAAATAAAAAACAAAAGAATTTAGAACAATCTATTTTGCATTGTTACATACTTATACAATTGCAATTAATATTTGCTTTATTTTAATCTACCATAAAATTGTCTGTAAATGGAATTTCTCCTCAATAAATGAGTGCTCCACATCTTTTGCCCCATCTTTCAGCTCAATAATCCATGCTCAGGGTGGATGTGGAAACCCCGTATTGAAGAAGGCAGCATGTCAAGAACCACAGTGTTGAAATGACTACATGCTCTGTTATAAACACTAAAATTTTAAGGTTTATCTTTAATATCTGCTAGCATTATCTGGAATGCTAAACAGTACTATAGAGAAAAAATAAAAGGGAAGGTGGAAGAAAAATAACAAGTTAGTCAAGGTTGTTATAAAATGTGACGATTTAGATAAACTTAACAAAATTTTACCTCTGGTAAACTAGGATGTTGGCACTATAATACCCAAAATGGGATACATAAGAAAAAATGAATCTACTCTGAAATGTAATGATGATCAGGCTAAGCGTATGTTAGGGTTTAGAGGGAGCGCCCCTAAAATATAAGAAAAATATTTGAAAATAATACTTTGAAACTATTTTTGACAGCTCAAAGAAGCAGCAGCTTCTTTCTTGAAGCAGCAAAGTAATCATACGGGGGTAATCACAATGTTTCTTATGCTCTTATATGCACTCTACAGTTTGGCATTGTTTATCAATTTCATTCTTTCCAGCGATTAGAGCCTCTAAAAATTCATGCTAGTTTAGAAGTATGTCTGTGTTTAGGTATCTAGAGAACAGGAAGAGAGTTCGATATGTTGCTCAGCAGAGAAACCAATTCTAAGAGTATATGGCACAGGAGTCAAACCCTTAGAAAGATTGTTAGAGCCATGAATTGGTATAGGACCACAGGAGACACCATAGAAAAATAAGAGTAGAGTGTCATCAGGCTATAGTCCCATTTACAAAAAGGAAGGCTAATTAGCAAAACTAAATATAGTCAAGAGATAGGAGAAGAAACTTAAAGAAAGGAATTATCACTAGCAAATATAATGAGAATATACCAACTTGGACTTATCCTTACTGGAGGCATCAGGGAAACCAAATGGGTTCATTGGCCAAAGTGGGCAGAAAGATAGCTTTGAAATGCATCTGTCATGGTTTGGATCATGGTACAAAAGCAAGTTAAACTTATGTAGATACATCATTAGTAGATAAAATCTTTATTTATTTATTTATTTATTTTTTGAGACGGAGTCTCGCTCTCTTGCCCAGGCTGGAGTGCAGTGGCACGATCTCAGCTCACTGCAAGCTCCGCCTCCCGGGTTCAGGCCATTTCCTGCCTCAGCCTCCCTAGTAGCTGGGACTACGGGCGCCCGCCACCACGCCCAGCTAATTTTTTGTTTTTTCTTTTCTTTTTTTTTTTTTTTTTTTTTTGAGACCGGAGTCTTGCTCTGTCATCCAGGCTGGAGTGTAGTGGCGCAATCTCGGATCACTGCAAGCTCCGCCTCACGGGTTCAGGCCATTCTCCTGCCTCAGTCCCCAGAATAGCTGGGACTACAGGTGCGGCCACCACGCCCGGCTAATTTTTTGTATTTTTAGTGGAGACGGGGTTTCACCGTGTTAGCCGTGATGGTCTCCATCTCCTGACCTCGTGATCCGCCTGCCTCGGCCTCCCAAAGTGCCGGGATTACAGGCATGAGCCACCGCGCCCGGCCCATAAATTTTTATATATTTCAACCAAAATTAGAAAAACAGAATAATAATAGTGAAAGAACCAGAAAGTGACAATCTTCACCAAACGTTCAGTCTCAAATGGTATGGGCAAAAGCACACCATGCACACAGAAGAAAGGGCAGACTGAGATGAATGTGGGTCATTAGGGTTCAAGAAGTGTTATGGAAATGAAGGGAGTAAAGAAAAGAAGAACATCAATCCAGGATACAAAACCCATGGATAACTTCAGACAATGCATTTTTACAGCTGTGAATATTTTAATATGATAGCTAAGTAAAGCAAACATATTAAAGAAAGTTGAAGAGAGGAGTTACAAAAGAAGTATTGTCTAGAGGAGTCAGAGGGAAATATAATTTGATAGAGAAAAGAAGACAATGGCATTAATAAGCACTTAGTATATATGAGAAAGTTGCTAGAGAGGATGGTGGGCAGAGGAGAAGGATTCTCTGGGTTCAATATGAAATTTCTCCACTTATAAATTATTTCACCTTAGGGAAGTTATTCATTTTTAATATGCTCACAAATAAACAGGATAATAATTTGTTTTCATATTATTTCTTTCAGAGGGAGTAAACAGAGATCCTTTTAATAATTATGATGTGACAACAGGTGCAAAACTTAGACAAACTAAGGTATCTGATCACCATATTTACTAGGCAAAATATTGAGGTTAAAAGAATTTGTGCTTTGTTTTTTCTTTTCAGTTTTCAACGTTCTCATCCCAGTAGATAACAAAAGGTCTGTGACAAGATGGGACATAGCAATTCTGTCTCTGTGATCTGCCCATCAGGAAAAGAGCTCTTAATAATCCAGGCTAACCTTTTCTGCAGTTAAATGTACCCAGTTTCCTCCTTCAGTGGTATGATCTTAGACATCAGCTTTCTTTGAGGGAAATCTTCATAGAGACATTGAGAGAAATCTTTACAATCTAAAATTACATAATGGAATAGGTCTGTGGTTATAGTTCAGTTTTAACTAGGGACATACAAGTCATAATGTCTTAACTTCAAATATCGAAAATCCATAAGAATTTAAGGTATGAGAACTGAAGGACAGAAAAGGCAGTCTTATTTGTGCTATGAGATGTTCTTAAATCCCTCACATAATTGCACCAGGAAGTATACTTTCTTTCTTCATTTATCTCTTAAAGCTCGGTCTTAAGACGAAGGGGCTAAAGGCCTGAGTTTCAATTTATATTTGTTTCATAATAGCAGTGACCCCTCAAGAAATGGCCACTAAACTGTGGGAAACGATGAATTCCTACACAGTAAAATAGATTATTTTCTTAAAAATGGCACAAGGTTTTATGAGAATTACAGCAGAAACATTGCTTAGCATCATGCATGGCATGTACTAAATATTCAGTCTATGCTACTTAGGTATCCTTGATGTTATAATATGAAATTGTGGATATTTGTAAATATGCAGTCTCCTAATACATAGTTGTAAAAATGTGTGAAGGTGTCCAGTGAGCAATTAATAGATTCTTAAATAATATTCCATTCTTACCCTTCATGATTTGTATGGAAGATTTAGAGAATGAAACAAAACTCTGGGATCTGTACCTTTTAACTGAAACAACCACCAGAACTAAATTTACATAACCATGATAAATAAATCTCTAAATAAGATAAGTATGGATAAACTTTGTAAACTTTCTCTTTTTAAGATACAAACAACAATAATAGTGTGGGTTATTTCTTCATAAATCATATACACTCCCAGTTATTTGTGTCAAACTTCTCTCTTGTGCCTGATGGTTTCCAATTCAAAACATGGTAATATTTTTCCAGTATTCAAAGGAAGTTCTGATTTGTCAGTACATAGAACTTACCATCTCCAGGCATACGTATTGATGGAATGTAAGTTAACAATTCAAATCTTTTTTTTTTTTTACATTGGGTGGTAATTTGGATTTATGTTTCTTTAAAACTAAGTCATTGGTGTCATGTTCATTTCCCTATAGCTAAGATTCCATCATACTGAACCAGAAAGAAATAGTATGTGTGTACAAAAATGTAAGAAATCAGTACTCCAAGCTATATAATAGGTTGTCAAACATTATTCTCATAAAATATCTATAGACACATTGGCCAATATTTACTTATTTTTTATAGTAATGTAGAAGCAATAGTAGTTAAAAACAGGGACTTTGGAGCCAGAATAATCTGTATTGGCTCCCATCTCCATTTCTTATTTGCTTTGTTCTCTAACAAGTCTCAAAATTTCTTGTCTCAGTTTTCTCAGTTTTAAAATGGGGATAATTATACATATGCTTTACATAGCATATTTAAATTACTAATTACTGTAGTAATTAAATGTTAGCATAACTAAAGTTTATACCTGTCGGGTAGTAAATATTATGTGGTTGTACTAAATAGTAAGCTGTGGTTGTCAATTCTAATATTCTTAATAGTACACACTTCATTGTGTTCTACAGATATTGATTAAATATAATTTTTGAGAAATTTAAATTTTGACTTTTCTCTAACATATTAAAATATTCTAAAATATAGAATTGCTGGGTTCATGAGACTATAGAAACCATATGTGAAAATAAAGTAATATCAGCATCCTATAGACATCTTCTAGAATCATAGAATAAAAAAGGTTCTTTATCTGTTATTTGTATTTCATTTTATTAAGCTAAGAAAGATTAAGGATAAATACTCTTGAAAAATACATAAAAATAATAAAAATTAAAAATAAATAAAAAATACATAAAAAATATAAAAAATAGAAACGTAAATCTACATTGCCACCCAATGTAAAAAAAAAAAAGATTTGAATTGTTAACTTAAATTCCATCAATACATATGCCTGGAGATGGTAAGTTCTAGGTACTAACAAATCAGAACTTCCTTTGAAGAGATTTATTAAGAGATTTGATGAAAGTGATTTTAAAAATGCAAACACAGAATTAATCTCTTGCTCTGACTACTGCCCTATCTCCTAATTTGTTGTTCTACTTCTGTTCTTGCTCTTACTTATTCTATTTTTCCCACAGTAGCCAGAGCAATTTTTGTAAAACATGAAACTGATTATGTGACTGTTCTGCTAAAACTCTTCAAATTCTTCCACTGTGCTTAAAATACAACTAAATTCCTCACCTTTGTTTACAAAACTCATGTAATCTGTTCCTTGCCTAATGCTCTCACTTAAATTCATACCATTCTCTTTCTCACTTATTTGGCTTCACCCATAACTTTCTATTTCTGGAACACATTTATGTTCATTTCCAGCAAAGACACTTTGTAATTGCCATTTCCTCTGACTGGTAAGCATTGGATCTAGATTTTAGCACCATTACCATATTCTTATGATTCAGATCTTAACTCAGTGACGCCTCTTTTCAGAGGACTTTCCCAACTACCAAATCAATTGTTGTTTAAATTCCATTCTTATCACGAATACCCTTATTAATTGTCAGTCACATTACTCTTGTAGCATATTAACATGATTGTTCTCAGAAATTATCTGTTCATTCATCTACCTCTTGATTGCAAGATTGCAAGCTCCTTGAGACCAAAGATTTTGCTGGCATTTTCCACTGGTACATTTTTCCCACCCAGAACAATATTTCCTAAATTACAGTATCACAATACATATTTGTGTAAGCAATGAATAAAAGGACATAAATCAAAAGAGAAGCTTGTTGATATGCTAATATGAAGATGCTGATGTTCAAACAGAATTTTATCAGTAAATTTGGAATAAAAAGTGTTGGAAAAGATATTCAATGGTAATGGGGTGAGTGGTTGATATGTATTGTACAACAGCAACTGAGAAACATTAAGTGTGAATAGAAATATCAGCAAATGCACCATTGAAGTAGTATCAGTAGTACACAAAGCCAATTCATCATGAAATAGTTTACACTCTAACTCTTCCATAAGTTTCATATTTGGCTCTTTCTTTAGATCCCCTTTGCCCACTTTATTTTGGGCTATCATATTTCTTCCTGTTTTCTAATTAGGTGTTGTCTTTATACTGTGAATCTTAGTCTTACTTGAATCAATGATTAGTAGAAATCACTGTTGTGACTAACATGCTTCTTCACATATGTGTTTAAAAGTACCCTAAAATCAATTCATTTAAAGTGAAAGCCTGACTGTTTTTTAAAATATCTTTCAATACTACTTCATTATCACATTAAATAGGCAATAACCTTGCACCTCATTATTTTATATTGGGTCTTGGCTAACTGTGGCTCTTGGACTAAATCCAGCTGGCCAGCTGTTTTTGTAAACATGATTTTATTGAATCACAGCCACACCTATTTATTTATTGTCTATGACTGCTTTCACTCTACAATGACAGGATCATTGCAACAGAGACTGTACAGCCAACAAAACAAAAAAATATGTATTATCTGCCCTTTATCAGAAAGCTTCCTTGTCCCTACTTTAAACCACTGTTTTACAGAGATTAAAAACTATATAAAATTCAAATCATTTTCTTCCATCAGCTTTACTGAGTCATATCTGTCTCTCTCCCTTTCCATACAATATAAAGATTACCTTTCAAGATCTCTTATTAGCCTTTAAACATTGAAGACATTGGCAAACAGACACTACTTTGTTTTCACTAGTTTCTTAATAAAACTGTTAATTGACAAGTTACCTTATTTAGCAGGAAGCCAATAAACCACAGTGTAAATCAGTAGATTACGCTGCTTTAAGCTTTTGAAAAAATGATTAGTCTCACTAAAGGGTTGGGCAATTACTGCCACTGCTAACTAATTTTGTACCTGGAAATAAAGATCTGCAATTTGTTGCCCATAGCTATAGCACACAGCCTGTTGACTTAGTACCTATACAGTTATAAACTATGGATTCTAAGAAAATTTAAATGTATGATGTTTATTTAAGTATATATGGTTATGATGTTATCTAAAGTACATTTATTATGAATTTCTTGGTATATAATCATTCATGCAGATAGGAGGATCTCTCATTTTGCAATAAAACTTTTAATTTTGACCCACACAAGGTAAAGAGATGCTCTTGAGGTACCTGCTTCTAAACTACAGGCGATGAATGTGTGTGTGGACTCATTGGTGAATCCTCATATATAAACAAAGTAGATGATATATTCATGCTAAAAGGAATCTGACTTGGAGCGAAGGCCCTTTTCTAGAGGCATAAGATTTAGTCATACAAAAACACTTAAATAATTTTAAAGGCATCAGACTCTCTGTACAGTAGGGATTATAAAAGACTGAAATTTCCCTTTTGTAATAGGGTTTCTGGCCTCTCTGGCCCTCCAGAAATATTAGGTATAGCTTAAAATCAGAGAAAAATAATACCAATTGCCAGAGAATGCTTTGTCCTTCATGATGTCAATAGCTGTCCCTCACTGGTTGCTCTGATCTCTTCTTTCTGTCAGCTTCTCTTCACCTATACACAGACAACTATGATTTGCAGGCCAGAAATGTAAGAGCTATGCATATTGGTGCCACATTAAATCCATGGTCATCACCATTAAATGAGTCCTTAATATAGCAAGACCACCTTGTTTCATTTTTTCTGTAAACTCCTGTTTCCCTCATTACTATCATTGTGTAAAAACTGTGTGTCAAATAGAGTTATTAACACCCGCACAGTTGGACATATGCGAGTTAACTATGGCTTTGTCACACAGGAATGGCATGATCTGGAAAAAATGGGTTAAACTCTCCATCTCTTAGTTTTTTCTCCTGTAAAATGATGACAATAATGTTTATAACATATACTTGTGATAGCATTAATGGTACATAGCATATAGTTAGTCCTAATAAAAATGATTTATTGTCTCCATCATGCCTCTCTGACTCCTCCTCCTCCTCATTGTTTTTGAACATGTAACCCATATGCTACTCTTTCACCTGAGAAATTAGAACAAATACAACAAGATTAACCCTGCACCTTTCTGTTTCTCCTTTTATCATCTTTCAATGGAGGACTTGGCTTCTTTCTAAGGGCCATTTCTCTCTGTCCTCTAGTTTAGATGCCTTCTAATTGAATGCTATTTACTGTTCAACTACTTGTTATTTTCTTAACATTTCCTTGTAATATAAACACTCTCTCATTAAAAGTCAATTATGGAACCAAAGAACTTCTGTTGCATATCTCCTTTTGCATGGATGGACCTTTTGGTTTCCCTTATCTCTTTGGGTTTAGGGGTGGTAAGGGATTCCCATTGTTGCTAGGCATGAGGTATTTCAACATTCTGTTAAGGTTTCCTCACTCTGTTCACACTTCTGTAAATAGTTATTTCATTGAAATATCATATTAAACTCTGTGTGTGCTACTGTTCTGTGCCAGGACCATGACTGATACAGATGCCTATGATCTTTATGGAGTCAGTAGAAGTGTTAGTCTAAGTTTCTGGGTTAATCATCCAAACTCTATTAATAGCTTATTACATGCCAGATACTGAGAAATTTGAACAATTGATAATGAATGCTAACTTAAGACTAATAAGATCAAACAATCAGACCTTATTTCAAGAAAAAAGCCCTGCTACTTACCTTAGGAACTAATTTCTCTTCTTTTCCAAAATATATGCCATTTCAAATGATCAGTTTACCCTCGACACTAGAATATTTTCTCTTCATCATTCCATATTTAAAAACATTTATTTAACATAAAAAGAGCAAGTTAATTACAATCCTTGTTTCCTTGGCCACAGTTATAGCTATCTCACAGAGGAGAAAACACATTTTATATGAATGGCACCTATATTTCTTTTCACCGAGACACATTTAACAACCCATCTTTTAAAGCACAAAGAAAGGAGAAAACCTTCAGAAATATGTCTTTTCAAATGTTGTTAAACATTGATTTGTCTGATTATTATAACTTGAGATAGTCCTTATTGTAGTAATTGAATACTTAAAATTTAAGAATTTATGCCATGTTATATGTTAATTTTATGCATCCACTTTCTATTTCTCCTGTTCCAGCCTCCCACATCCTAGGACATCTGTGAAGATAACAAAATTGCAAATGCCAGATGGTAGTATGATCATTAAATTAAAATCAGTTCCACTCTTGTTTCAATCATGAAACAGAACGATCAAATTTGTAAATGTTTCTATTTTGGATATTATTTTATTTTACATGAAAACAAAGAGATGTACTTTAAAAACATTACATTGGTAAATTACAGTATTTTTTTCTCTACTAATCTTATTTTGTAAGGTTCTAAAATTTGGTTGACTAACACTTGTGTTCTGCAAATTAGTTTACCTAAAAAGAGGAATAAATAATAATAAACTTTGAACAAAAAAAACTAATATAAAATACTGTTATATTTCACATAACTAATGGAAAAAAAATTCTGACAGGCTTTCTTGACACAAAAATATTAGGAATAAATTTTGTTCCTTGTTGCAGGGTGAAGTAAGGAAGATGGTTGAATAAGTACCAAACCCTCCTCTGAAAGGGACACCAACTCAACAATATGCAAAACATTCTCCTTTGTGAGAAACCCAGAGACCAGCCAAGAGACTCCTATAGCCCAAGTGAGTATCATGCCAGCCACACTGAAGTTGATGGGAAAATTTGTGGCACCCACTTGCCAAAGCCCTGCCCTTAGCTCAGAAATGTGCAATCAGAAGGAAGATCCTAACTCCTCACTTCTCCCTGGGGAGGAAATAGAAGACTGGAACATATGTCTAATGTTCAGATTTGGAGGGAACTAGCTAAGAGACTGATTTCTTCCCTATTTGAATCTAAGTGCTGACAGGAAAGGGTGTCAGATAAGAAACCAGTGGAAACAGAGGCAGCCCTTTGAACTAGCACACACTCAGTTACCATCATCTTTCTCCCCAGCTCAGCATAACAGTTTCACCTGACTTGGCATACTGACAGGAATTTGAATGCTCTAGATGCTTGAGGATACTGAAAACAAACATAAGAGCTCCAGAGGACCTACAGTATAGCAGACAGAAGCTGATTCAACTTGACAGTTTGTCCCTCAGGGGGAAAAGAGAAGAATAAAAGGTGTGTCAAATATTCTGACTTTCGGGAGGAGCTGCCTGAAAAACTGGTTGTTTACTTGCTAGTCTCAGAGCACTAAAGGGAGCTGGCATACTCTAAATGCCTGAGGCCAATGAGGAGAAAAAGAAATGAGTGACTTACAGTAACATCAAAGGATCTTCATTAGTGGAGACAGACACCATAAGAAGGAGGAAATTTCAGCTTCTAAAAAAGGAAACCAGTAAAATCTCCCTAATTAGGAATTTACAAATTCACAGAAAACATTTGAGAGACCCGCAAAATATGTAGCTGGGTCATTTCAAGAAAAACTTTCCCTGTTTGGAGCTGGTCCACAAATACTGGGAGAGGGGGCTACTTTTCAAATGCATAGATCCCAACAAAAAGTAACAAGGCACATGAAGAAACTGTTGTAACCAACAGTTGGGCACATGAGCCAAGCAAAGTATCAAAAAACTATCTCCAGAAATAAGTCCTAAAGAAATGGAGATATATGAATTACTCAACAAAAAATTCAAAATTAACCATTGTAAAGATGCTCAATGAATACAGAAAATAAATACATAAAATGACAACATCAACAAAGACAGAAAATTTTCATGCGAGTCCATGTGAAGAGACCACCAAACAGGCTTTGTGTGGCAATAAAGCTTTTTAATCACCTGGGTGCAGGCGGGCTGAGTCCAAAAAGAGAGTCAGTGAAGGGAGATGGGGTGTGGCCATTTTATAGGATTTGGGTGGGTAGTGGAAAATTACAGTCAAAGGGGGTTGCTCTCTGGCAGCAGGGGCAGGGGTCACAAGGTGCTCAGTGGGGAGCTTCTGAGCCAGGAGAAGGAATTTCACAAGGTAATGTCATCAGTTAAGGCAGGAACCAGCCACTTTCACTTCTTTTGTGATTCTTCAGTTGCTTCAGGCTGTCTGGATGTATACGTGCAGGTCACAGGGGATATGATGGCTTAGCTCGGATCAGAGGCCTGACATTCCTGTCTTTTATATTAATAAGAAAAATAAAACAAAATAGTGTTGAAGTGTTGGAGTGGCGAAAATTTTGGGAGGTGGTATGGAGAGATAATGGGCGATGTTTCTCAGGGCTGCTGTCAGTGGGATTGGGGCAGCGTGGGAACGTAGAGTGGGAGAGATTAAGCCGAAGGAAGATTTTGTGGTAAGAGGCAATATTGTGGGGTTGTTAAAAGAAGCATTTGTCATATACAATGATTGGTGATGGCCTAGATGTGGTTTTGTATGAACTGAGAAACTAAACAGAAGATACAAGGTCTGAATAAGAGAAAGAGAAAAACAGGTATTTAAGGACTAAGAATTGGGAGGACCCAGGACATACACTTAGAGAGTGGCCAAGGGGGTTCAGCGTAAGTTTTTGGGCTCTATCCTTGTCAGAGTTCTCCTTTTTAAGTTGGAGGCTGAGCTTGATGAGGCGTGTTTTTAAAAGACCATTAGTCCATTCTACGTTTCCTGAAGATTGAGGACAGTAAGGTGCATGAAAGTTCCACTGAATACCAAGAGCCTGAGAAACTGCTTGGGTGATTTGATTAATAAAGGCCGGTCTGTTACTGGACTGTATAGAGGTGGGAAGACCAAACTGAGGTATTATGTCTTACAGAAGGGAAGATATAACCGCGGTGGCCTTTTCAGACCCTGTGGGAAAGGCCTCTACCCATACAGTGAAAGTGTCTAACTAGACCAAGAGGCATTTTAGTTTCCTGATATGAGTAAAGTCAATTTGCCAGTCCTGGGCAGGGGCAAATCCCCAAGCTTGATGTGTAGGGAAGGGAGGGGGTGCAAAACTAATAAAAATAAACACACAGAAATTTTGAAACTAAAGAATAAAATTATATAATTAAATAATTCTCTAGAAGAACTCAAAAGCAGGCTTAATTGTGCAGAAGAAAAACAGTGAACTTTTGAAATGACAAGCAAAAAGAAAAAGAATGAAGAGTGAAGAAAGCCTAAAAGACTGATGTGACTCCATCAAGGGAACAAATACACATTATGAGAGTTTTAGAAGGGGAAGAGTTAAAGAGGTAAAACTCTTGTTGGAAGAAATAATGGCAGAAAACTTCCCAAATTGGGGCAAGGAAATGAACAACCACGTTGAAGAAGTCCAGTGGCATAAACTCAAAGAAGACAACAATAAGACACAATGTAATCACATTGTCAGAAATAAAAGACAAAGAGAGGATTTTAAAAGCCAGCACAATATTGCAGTGAGGCGAGATCACACCACTGTATTCCAGCCTGAGTGACAGAGCAAGACTCCGTCTCAAAAAAAAAAAAAAAAAAAAAAAAAAAGCAGCACAATAAAAGTGATTCATTATATACAAGAAATCCTCCATAAAACTAACACAGGATTCCTCAGCAGAAATATTGAAGGCCAGAAGGACTAGAATGACATATTCAAAGTGCTGAAATAAATAAAATTGCCAACCAAGATTACTATATGGAACAAATCTGTCCTTCAAAAATGAAAAAGAAATAAAGACATTTCCAGATTAACAAAAGTTGAGGTAGTTTATAATTATACTTGCCTTACAAAAAATACTAAAGGGAGTCCTTCAATTGTAAACAAAAGAATGCTAGATAGCAACAAAAAAAACATATTAAAGTATACAGCTTGGTAGCAAAGGTAAATATTTAATGAATACAGAATCCTTCAATACTATAATGGTAGCATATGAATCACTTTTAGTTCTGGTGTATAATGAAAGTATTAGTATAAAAATACAACTAAAATAAATTTATACACAATATAAGAAAGTATAATTGTGACAGTAACAGAAAGTGTATGTGTGGAGGAGGAAGTAAATATGTAAAGTTTTTTGTATGCAATTGAAATTATGTGTTATCAGCTTAAAATAGATTGTTATAATTATAAGACGTTTTATGGAAGCCCCATGGTAACTGCAAAGAAAATATCTATAAGAGATATGCAAAAGAAAATAAGAAAGCAATTAAACACTGACAGTATAAAAGTCAATGGGAAGAAAAGACTGCAAGAGAGGAAAAGAGGAACAAGAAAAGCTACAAGATAGACAGAAAACAATGAATAATATGGCAATAATAAGTCTTTATCAATAAATATTTTAAATATAAACAAATTAAAATCCCCAATAAAAAGATACAGAGTAGCTAAACAGATTAAGATAAAAACCAAAACCATGATTTAACTATAAGCACCCTACAAGAGACTCACTTTAGCTTTAAGGATGCACATAGGTTGAAAATGAAAGGATGAAAAAAAGATATTATGTGTAAGTGGTTAGCAAAAGAAGGCAGAGGTAGCCATATTTGTATCAGACAAAATATAATTTAAGTCAAAATCTGTCATAAAACAAAAATAACATCTTAGAATTATAAAAGGGTGAAGTCACTAGGAATGTATACCAAATATATATGCACATAGCACCCAAATATGTAAAGTAAAATAGGCAGAACTGGAGTGAGATAGAGAGTAACATGATGATAGCAGGAAATCCCACACTCCCCTTTTAATTATGGATAGAAAACCAGATAGTTGACCAATAAGGAATAAGAGAGCTTGAACAACACTATAGTCTGATTGAACCCAACTGATACATAGAATCAGTCTACACAAAACCAGTAGAATAAACATTCTTCTCAAGTGTACATATTCTTCTCCAGGTAAGAATACATTGTAGGTTGCAACACAATCTTAAGAAATTTAAAACGATTGAAATCACACCAAGTATCTTTCTTGCACACAACTGAATAAAAATAGAAATCAATACAAGAAGGAGAAGTGGAAAATTTACAATTATATGAAAACTAACACACTACCAATGGATCAAAGACAAAATCGAGGGAAATTAGAATATGTACTGACACAAACAAAAATGAAAACCTAACATACCAAAATTTATGAGCTGTAGCAAAAGCAGCACTAGGAAAGAACTTCATCGTGATAAACACCTACATTATAAAGAAAAGGTATCTCAAATAAACAACCTAACTTTATACCATAAGAAACTAGAAAAAGAAGAACAAAATAAGCCCAAAGTTAGCAGAAGGAAGGAATTTTAATGATTAGAGCAGAAACAAATAGAAAATAGAAAAACAATTTTAAAAATCAACAAAAATAAGAATTGGTTTATTGAAATATCAACAAAATTGACAAAACCTCAGCTAGACTAAGACAAAAAGAGAGAGTATTGAAATAAAATTATAAATTGAGACATTACAACTGATGCCACAGAAATTAAGATTATAAAAGAGTATTACAAAAATTATACGTCTACAAATTGAATAACGTCAAAGAAATGGATCAATTCCCAGACACATACAACCTACTAAGACTAAATCATGAAGAAATAGAAAGTGTTAACAGGCATATATCTAGTAAGAAAATTGAATCAATAAGCAAAAACCTCTCAACAGAAATAAAGTCTAGGACTAGATGGCTTAACTGGTGAATTCTACCAAATATGTAGAGAGGAATTAATGTCAATCTTTTTCCACTTGCTAAAATATTGAAGAGGAGACAATACTTCCAACATCATTTTATGAGGCCAGCCTTATTCTGAGATTAAAGCTAGATTAAAAACACTAGAAAAAAATTGCATACCAATATTCCAGATGAATACAGATGTAAAAATCCTCTGAAATTTCCTAGCAAACCAAATTCAGTAGTATCTTAATAGAATCATATACCATGACCAAGTGGGATTTCTCTCAGGGATGAAGGGACTGTTCAACATAGGAAAATCTATCCATATGATACACCACATTTACAGAATTAAGAGTGAAAACCACCTGATCACCTTCATAGATGTAGAAAAAATTTGACAAAACTCAGCACTGATTATGATTAAAAAAATTAAAAAAACTAGAAATTGAAAAAAAAATCTCAACACGATGAAGGTAAAATATGTAAAGCCCATAGCTTTATCACAGTCATTGGTGAAAAAAAAAAAAAAAAAAAAAAGAAAGAAAGCTTTTCTGGTAAGATCAGGGATAAGGCAAGAATGTGCACTCTTATCACTTCTATTCAACATAGTACCAGAAGTCCTAGCTAGAGAAATTAGGCAAGAGAAAGAAATAAAAGGCAACCAAATCAGAAAGGAAGAAATAAAATCAATTATATTCACATAGGATATGACCTTACATGTAGAAAACACAATAGATCTCATATAAAAACTGTTAGAACTAGTAAATGAATTCGGAAAATTTCCGGGATAAAAAATCAACATATAGAATCAGTTGTGTTTCTACACGTTAACAAAGAACAATTTTGAAAAATAAGTTAAAAACAATACCATTTACAATGACATCAAAAAGAAGAAAAAAATACTTGGGAATTATCTTAACCAAGGGAATAAATGACTATAAAACATTGATGAAAGAAATTAAAGGAGACACAAATAAATGGAAAGATATCCTGTATAAATATTGGAAGCCTTAATATTATTAAAATGTCATTACCACCCAAAGTGATCTATAGGGTTGAGGCAATCCCATCAAAATTCCAATGCCATTTCATTTTTCAGAAATAGACAAAATAATCCTAAAATTCATAAAGAACCACAAAGGACCCCCAATAGCCAGACAGTCTCATGCAATAACAAAGCTAGAGGGCTAACTTCAAAACATACTACAAAGCTACAGTAAGCAAAATAACATGATACAGGCATAAAGGCAGACATATAAACCAATGAAACAAGTTTGAGGGTGCAGAAATAAGCCCATGCACATATAGTCAACTGATCTTCAACAATACACAATGTTGAAAGGATAGTATCTGTGTTAGTCCATTGTTGTGTTGCTGTAAAGGAATAGTGGAGGCTGGGTAATTTATAAAGAAAAGAGTTAGTTGCCAAATGGTTCTGCAGGCTGTACAAGCATGTCTCCAGCATTTGCTTCTGGTGAGGGATTCAGGAAGCTTATAATCATTGTGAAGGGAACGGGAGCCAGCATGTCACATGATGAGAGCGTGAGCAAGGGGATGTGGGGTACCACGCTCTTTTAAACAACTAGATCTCGTGTGAACTCAGAGTGAGAACTCACTCATTATTGCAATAATGGCCATTAATGAGGGATCTGCCCCCATGAGCCAAACATTCCCCACGAAGCCCTATCTCCAACACTGGGGATTACATTTCAACATGAGATCTGGAGGGGACAAACATTAAAATTATATCAGTATCTTCAATAAAAGGTGTTGGGAAAAATTGAATTTTTTTCACATGCCAAAGATATTCAGATGCAATAGAATAAAATTGTATTCTTATCTAACAGCATAAACATAAATTAACTCAAAATAGATTAAAGACTTAACTATAAGACATGAAACTATAAAATTCCCAGAGGAAAACATAGTGGAAAGCTTTATAATGTTGGTGCAGGTCACGATTTTATGAATATGACACAAAAAGCACAGGAAACAAAAGCAAAAACAGACAAGTGAGACTGTGTCAAACTAAAATACTTCAACACAGCAAAGTAAAAAATCAACAGAGTAAAAAGGCAACCTGTAGAATAGAAAACAATATTTGCAAACCATATGTCTAATAAACAAACAGCAATATCCAAATATATGAGGAACTTGTAAAACTCAATAGAAAAAAAGAAATTATCCAATTATAAATGGGCAAAGGACATGAAAATATACATCTCCAAAAAAAAAAAAGACATACAAATGACCCACATCTTCATGAAAAGATGCTAAATCTTTTTAAACAGGAAAAAACAGATCAAAACCACAATGAAATATCAAGTCATCCCTCTTATAGATGGCCGACATCAAAACAAAACAAAACAGAAAATAATCAGTAAGGATGTGATAATAATAATCCTCAGTAATCCTCAATAATCAGAGAGGATGTGAATACATTGAAACCCATATCCCCTCTTGGTGTTACTGTAAAATCGTGCTGGGGCTATAAGAAATAGTGTGAAGATATCTCAAAAATTAAAAATAGAACTACTATATGATCTAGAAATTCTACTCCTACATACTTATCTAAAGTAACTGAAAGCAGGATCTTGGAGAGATACTTGCACTTTCATGCTCACTGCACCTTTATTCACAAAAACCAAGACATGAAAACATAAATGTCCACTGACAGATGAATGTTTAAAAAGTTGCATATATGTGTATGTGTATGTGTGTGCATGTGTGTATGTAAGTGTATGTATAAAATAGAATATTATTCAGCTTTAAAAAAGAAGGAAGTCCTGTCATCTGTAACAACATAAATGACACTTGAGGACATCATGCTAAGTGGAAAAAGCCAATCACCAGGACAGATACTGCATGATTCCACTTTTATGAGTCACCAAAAAATAGTCAAACTCATAGAAGCAGAAAGTAGAATGTTGGTTGCCAGAGTCCGAAGAAATGGGGAAATGAGGAGTTATTGTCTAATAAGTATAGAGTTTCAGTCATACAAGATGAAAATGTTTTAGAAACCTTTTCTACAATAAAGTATATATAGTTAACAACACTGTACTGTATAACTAAAAAACTGTTAATAAGATATATTTCATGTTGTGTGAGATTTTTTCACCACAATAAAAAGTATTCCTTGTTATGACAAATTAAAAACAAGAAAATCACTACAGTATAGTAAAGGAAACTGCATCCTGAAATATTTATGAATTATTTGAGATCATGTTGTAATCTGTTATTAATCTCAAGTCGTACAATAGCAATTTGTTTCTTCTACCAATTTCTCACAAAGTGTGGTCTGCAATAGCCTTCAGTCAGAATAAAAACTCTGGTATCTAAGAACATCTCCAGACCTACTGAATCAGAATTATGGTGGATGGTACACAGGAATCTGTATTTTAAGTATTCTTTCCAGGTGAAAATTATGTACATAAAACTTGTGACGTTGCTTTATATGAAAGCTTATATTCATATATATTATGCGCTCCTAAATTTTCACACACACACACACACACACACACACACAAAGCAAATGTTCTCAATCAATATAAGTTACATTGAAGTTAAATTCATTGTTTGACTTTGACTCTAAGATGTGGGTCACGTATCTTCACTAAACTCTTCTAATCTTACTGATCACACTTGATAATCCATACTAATTTCAGATCTAGAAAATTAAGTAAAACTATTCAAAGTTCCTTAACAATATGAACTAGATTTGAAAGTTCCAACCACTTTCAACATTACATAAGATCCTGATAATCATACTATTTGTTTTCAACCTCAGAAATAGCAAAAAAATTTAATTTTGAAAAGCAAAGAATTGATGGTTTTGAACTTTATTAAAAGCATCATCAGCATTTTATTCATTCTATAGTAAAGAAAATAATATAAGAACTTGAAAGTCTATT
Organism: Homo sapiens; assembly: GCF_000001405.40. Lineage (NCBI taxonomy): Eukaryota > Metazoa > Chordata > Mammalia > Primates > Hominidae > Homo > Homo sapiens. The sequence goes on from NC_000006.12 coordinate 65,680,502, forward strand.
AATGACAGTAAAGTAAACTAGTTTATTTTGTTTTCTAAGATTCAAGAAAAATGGATCACTTCTATGGCTAAACTAATATCTTGAAATTCCTTTATTATAGACCTAAAAATGTAAATATGGTTTAAAGACTGCAATTTGTTTAGGTTAGCCCTGTGATTGACTCTGATTTATATGCTGAGTTCAATTTCAGCTTTCTATTATAAATGACCTAATAACAAATATTCTCACAATTCTCTTCCGACAGAGGAGATGTGGGGATTCCTCACCATCAGCAAAGAAGTGATCAATTCTGCAGAAACACCAGCTGGGCTAACTCAATTCAATTCAATTCAATTCTCACACTCTACCTCGATGTAGCAACTGAGCTACATCTAACTCTATTCAATTCTCACACTCTACCTTGATGTAGCAACTGAGCCACAGGTTGAAGGTTCAGTTTCACGAGATTGCCTCCCACTGGCCACCGGTGATCATTTTAACCTTCAGCCCCAACTCATCCCTAGAGCCTTGGTCTATCTGGCAACCAAATGTCATCATCTATGGGGGCCAACAGCTGTCAGCCAACTTATTAGCATATTAGAAGACTTTGGAGATTCTAAGGATTCAATTCAATTCTCTAACTCAATTCAGTTCTCACACTCTACCTCGTAGCAAATGAGCCACAGGTTGAAGGCTCAGTTTCATGAGATTGCCTCCCATTGGCCACCAGTGATCATTTTAACCTTCAGCCCCAACTCATCCCTAGAGCCTTGGTCTATCTGGCAACCAACTGTCATCATCTGTGGGGGCTAACAGCTATCAGCCAACTCATTAGCATATGAAAAGACTTTGGAGATTCTAAGGATTTTAGGAGTTGTATTCCAGGAAATGGGGTCAAAGACCAAATGTATATTTCATAATACCACACTTTGAAGAAAAATTTAAGTGAAATTAAATCAATATCAATATTTCAGTGGAAAGCTTCAGTGAGGAAGATAATTTAACAAAGGAATTAACTTTTTGCTTTACGTTAATGATCTTCACGATATAGCAGAGCTGAATTACAATGGTAGGCTACAAGCCTTTATTTAAATTTTCCCCTTAGACATGAACAATGTGTTTTATGCTAGCAGAAGACATGAGACTCCTGGGCCAGAGACAAAAGACCTTATTACTTATGGCTTAACAGGCAGCATAAATATCATTCTCCTGTCCTCTGACCAAGACAATTTTAATGTTCCCCTCAGCTTGAGTAAATGCTAAACAGATTTCTTCTTGATTTTAGGCCCCTGACTTCCTTCGCCCTTTGAGATGTAAAGAATCTTTGAGCCTCTTGCTAGTTTTATAGCTCACGTATATTTGTCTTAAGAACTTGAGAGCCATCCTTCTAAAAATCTAATCATTAAGAAATATAGTGCCTCTACCTGTCAAGCTCTGTGAGAGAGTAGGACTCTGACTTTGGTAAGTGCCAATCAGCAAACACAGCCTAATCACGTTGACCCCTACCTAACAAATAGTCTTCAATACTTTTCCACTAGGCTACTCCAGCAATTAAAAACTCTCCTGCCTTTTGTTTCAGTGGTGTTGAGTTCAATCTCTCCCCTACTGCAATAGTCTTAACCACAATTGCAATATTGTTGAATAAAGTTTGCCTCCCTGTTTAGCTGTCAGGTGCAATTTTTCTTTGAAATTCTGAAGTCTCTTGGGAGCAATGAAGAGTGGTCCAGGTAGAAGCTGCAGTAATAGTTTGTTTATGTCACTGCTGAGAAATACAAGCATAGGAAACTCCAGTTTCATCAGAGGGTTGCTAGCAAGTCTGTCCAATCTTAGCTACGGAGTGGGAAGAAAACATGGTATTTATTATCCTGATTAGGAGACAAATCTTGTCTCTGACCCAAAAGGAAACCTTATCTGTATCTTCCAAGGCTTTTAGCTATCCTAACATATGTCATAAATAATTTTATATATAAGAGTTAATACTTACATAATAAATGTTTGTTCATTTGGTATATTATAATTTGAAAATATTAAAATATAGTTATTTCTTGAAATACAAATATTTTTATTATTCAATCACATATTAGTTTATTTAATACAGTGTTCAACAAACATTTTTATAGATTGCCTAATATATATCACATGCTATGATCAAGAGCTATAAGACACAGTAAATTCATGCTCTCCGGGAGCTCCAATATAGCAGCTAAATAATTTTCTAGTTGTGTACCACATTCAAAGAAGTCAGAGCCAGAGCACAGAGACAAATACAGAGTTTCAAGAGGTGATGCTAAATTTATCAGACAAGGAGAAGGAAAGGCCATGTATATAGTAAAAAGAAAGAAAAGAAGGTAAAATGGCTTTAATATGGAGTATCTGAGGGAACAGTAAATACCATATGAGAGTGGCTAGAATTACCTGGAAATATAAACGCGGTCATGGCAGAAAGGAAAGTTTAGGCCACTATCAATAAGTTGGGCTTTATTTGTAAATGATGTGGTGTCATTTAAGCATTTTATGCAGAACAGTACTATGTTCAGATATGGATCAAAGAGAGGCAATGCTCTACACTGAGACTGTTATTAGAAACTGTCATAGTCTTGAATTAACTACAGGGAATATAAATTCCCAAACCTTCTTTACCCATGGTGTATTCATTTCAAAAATATATTTGATGTGTTTTTATCACTCACGATAAAAATTGCCAAATTGTTTCTCAAAAATATTTTACAGCAGTATTATATCTTCATTAGAATTTAGTTTTAATGTCAGCACATCTGATGAAAAATAGTCTAAAGTCAAAATTATCCTTGTCAGTTTCTGATAAAGGTGCCATTTTGAAGATCCACAATCTGTCTTTCAAAGTACTAGGTTACTCCAGCAATGAAAAACTATCCTGCCTTTTGTTTCAGTGGTGTTGAGTTCAATCTTTCCCCTATTGCAATAGTCTTAACTACTATTGCAATAATGTTGAATACAGTTTGCTTGCCTGTTTAACTGTCAGGTGCAAATTATCCTTGTCAGTTTCTGATAAAGGTGCCATTTTGAAGATCCACAATCTGTCTTTCAAAATAACAACACTACTTTTTTCTCCATGGTAAAACAGTTTACAATTCCTCCATGGAAATATCAGATGAAGTAGTGGCTTGTATTTAGGGTCCATGTTTTATTAAGATAAGTACTCTGTTTTTAAAAACTAGCAGCACATTCAGTGCTTACTGAAGCTCACAGTATCAGGGACATGAGTTGGAACTGACAAGGATTGAGAGAGCAGCAGATTCATATTTTCTTCCACAACCCACTGGGTCTAGGACATATACTCAGCAGAATGGCAGGCAACATTTCCAACAGTATCTGAATGTATCCACTCCCTCTCTCAACCATGTATAATTAAAGCCAAGTAATTTAAATAGAACCAGTGCAAATGGACTATACTGTGTTTTTATTTCATTTTCTTTGCAATAATGCTAATTTTGGACCAAAGTTTTAGGCAAAGGGTATCATCACTGTTAAAAGGGGAAAAAGCTGGTTTTCCTTTTGGTTTCTGTTTATTCTTTAGTGGATTGTAGATTAATATTCATTGCCTTAGAATTTATTAAAGTCATGATACTTGCCAATCAATTTTTGTATAAGCAATTTGTTTGGTGGAGATGTAACATGATAACAATAAGGACTGATTTATTGTCTTCAAATTCTGATAAAACCAGGATTGAAAACAATAGGAGACAAACATTCTGCTATGTTACAGAAGGGTGCGAGACACAGTCATGCAGGATTTAGTTAAAAATAGCAAATCCTCTTATCTCCCCAAGCTCTACAAGAAAATAATAACATTTTAATGGATTATTTGAAGGGAATTAATAGGCTATAAAGAAAGCTGTGGCACTTCCTCTGTCAGATGGTGGGAGGGGGTCCTTTTCCTAAAGCCAAACGTGGGAGCACGTTCAAAAGAATGTAGAGAGGACACCCGCCAGCACCTTCTTTCTCAAACAATGTTTGCTGAGCTGCAGAAATGTATAGACGCTATATGGTACAGAAATGAAGTGTTGTGTGAGAGTTTTTGATACACGTTTGTGTGTGTTCTAGAGAATTTGGTAATATACATGAACCTAGGGGCTGTTTTCCACTGGAGAAGTTTAAAAGCAGCAGCAGTCTGTTTTGAGATACTTCCCATGGTAAGGTGAGGAGAGAAGGGTCAGCAGTTAAACATGTGTCCTTTTTTTTCCACCTTTTATTTTAGGTTTAAGGGGTACATGGTTAGGTTTATTACATGGGTACATCGTGTGTCACGGGGTTTTGGTGTTCAGATTATTTCATCACCCAAGTAATAAGCATAGATATGATAAGTAGTTTTTCGTTGTTGTTGTTTTCTCTTCTTTTGTTTTTCTTTTGTCTTCAACCTCCTCCCACCTCCCATCCTCCACCCTCAAGTGGGCCCCGGTGTCTGTTGTTCCCCTCTTTGTGTCCATAGGTACTCAATGTTTAACTCCAACTTATGAATGAAAACAGGCAGCCTAAAGATGTATAGGGCTTCTATGGCCTGAGGAGATGATGCGGATAATGGGCTGGCTCCTGTTATTTTTATGTAGTCCAACCTATAATAGGGTTAGAGTGAGGGTAATAAGATATGGAAGGAATGTTTTCACATGGGTCACTCTATAAGGGCATAGCCTATACTAGACAGGTGAGTAGGGACAAAGTCCCTGTAGCACTTCCAAAAAACAGCAAGCCTGATATATGAAGAAGAACCTCAATTTGAATGATGGACACATAGAGACGTCAATGGCCATATTTCAGCAGCATTTTTTCTCTAATTCCTTTGCTCACTTCCTCTATTGTTTCTTAAACCTAGAATCAAGAATCAAGTCTGTGCTGGGAAGAAAGAAGCTACGACTACGACATCAAATTGAAGTTTTGTTTATATAAACTAGACATTTTAATGTCTGAATGTGTCAGAATTACCATAATAAAATTTTTCTTTTAATTGAAATTGATTGGAAAGCCAATAGATAGACTTAAGGTTCAGCAAAAAGAATTTACTAGAGTATAATTGAAGGCAAGGTCTGGAGAAAAGTAAAGTATTTTCCTATTTATATCACATAGAGTTCAACCTTCATTCCCTGTTCAATATACCAGCTGCAAGAGTATTAATCATTTGGCATATTTGCCTTAATATTCTCTTTTTGTTGTTTTAACCTCTTTTTATTTCCATTACAGCGAAATGTGTGTTTCCATGCATATGTGAGAGAAGACAGTTAATATGTCCAAATTTCATATTTTCCTTTGTAATCTATATCTTTTATGTACTGAATGAGTCATTCACATTCTAGAAGGTACAACAATGTTGCAATATATTCTCATTAAAATTCTAATGCCTTCAATCCTCAAATTAATATTCTAAACATTAAATTCATATAAAATATATTTGATCACTGTTCTAAGGTAAGTACAGAAGACCATATGGTGTGCTTCCCAGATCTCCGTTCAAGACTGAAAAACTTATTCCCCCATCTACTGGAAGTGCATTGCGAGATTATTTCGAGCTCTTCCTCAACTTCAGGAATTGTTCTACCTGAAGAATGTTGCCTTGATTAAGATCATGTTCTTCCCAGTGTCACCCTACATCTAATGATAGCCAGATGCAGGTATAAAACAAACAAACAGACTGAAAACCTAATCCTTTCTTTTCTACTTAAGATAACCTGAAGGGACATCTCTAGAGGTCTTTATTTAGACTGTATCAGAGCCCATTTTCTCTGGCGTTCTTCCCGGCTCTTCCCCAGAAGACAATGCTAAGAGCCCTTAATTGATACTGATGTCTACCTCTGCATCTTGAAAAATCTAATATGGGACAGAAAAGACTGAAATCAGTCCTCCTCCAAGGTCAGAAGCCATTTATTACAATGCCATTTTTTAGTAATTATTATTTTCTTTCTGGTGCTCCAATGGCTCCTTGATCATACAGTAAGGAGGCCTATGTAGTGGAGTCGACGCGATTATGTGGTTATGCACGTGTATGCTTCTGTGCTTGTGCTAGCACACACACAAACACATACGAATACATAAACACACATATATAACATATGCTCACACATAAATGGGGAGAACAGGAGGATTCATATGTTTGTTAAACAAACTACAAAATGAAAGATAAATACAAATGAACTTTTAAAATATCACTTTAAGGAATTCTTATTTATCCCTTGGGTAATGGGTTGTTTTTAAAGCAAGAAAGTATTATTATCTGAATTTTTTCCTAAAAGGCAAATAGTAGCCATGTGTTGTATACATAAACAGGACCAATGCAAAGGTCATTATAACACATGAGGTGAGAGATGATGAATACCTGAAGCTGGGTATTGACACTGGTAAAAGTTAAGAGGTACTCATTGGAAGCTAGAATTGATGGGGCTTGGTGACAACATGAAAAATTGAAAGGGAGCTTTTTTTTTAATGTTATAGGCTATTTAAATCGATTTTATTAGAACACAAAAATGTTATTTTTAATTTAAAGTATTAGAAGTATAATTATTCTATAGAAATAAAAGGCATAATATATTCTTTAGTCACACATTTATACCTAGACTAGTTTCACGCATGAGTGATAAAGGATGCATTAGCCATATTACTGTTCTTCTTGTGTTTTTGAAACCAAGAAATATTCAGATTTAAGTTTATACATCTTTAAAGCATAAAAAATGCAACTGAATAATTTATGAGCAGTAGCACTGAGACTACTTAAAAAGAATACAGCAGTATTTGAAAAATTACATACTAAAAATGCAAGGTTATATATGCAAGAAAAAAGACAAACTCAAGACAATATTTCAGGATCTATAAACATAACAGTCCAGTTGGAAATTTCCAGCTTTAAATATGACATATGCTGATGTGAATGACAATAGAAAAAATCTGAATAATTTAGGGACATATCAAGGTCAAATAACTCCCTACTTTTCCGCCTTTTGTAATAAATTACCACCTCACTTTTCCAGCAGTAAACCAACCTCTAAGTAGAAAGATTCTAAACATAAACAGATAAAGATTATGTGGGATGCCCTCTCTCACCACTCCTATTCAACATAGTTTGGAAGTTCTGGCCAGGACAATCAGGCAAGAGAAGGAAATAAAGGGCATTCAATTAGGAAAAGAGGAAGTCAAATTGTCCCTGTTTGCAGACGACATGATTATATATCTAGAAAACCCCATCGTCTCAGCCCAAAACCTCCTTAAGCTGATAGGCAACTTCAGCAAAGTCTCAGGATACAAAATCAATGTGCAAAAATCACAAGCATTCTTATACACCAATAACAGACAAACGCAGAGCCAAATCATGAGTGAACTCCCATTCACAATTGCTTCAAAGAGAATAAAATACCTAGGAATCCAACTTACAAGGGATGTGAAGGACCTCTTCAAGGAGAACTACAAACCACTGCTAGATGAAATAAAAGAGGATACAAACAAATGGAAGAACATTCCATGCTCATGAGTAGGAAGAATCAATATCGTGAAAATGGCCATATGGCCCAAGGTAATTTATAGATCCAATGCCTCCCCATCAATCTACCAATGACTTTCTTCACAGAATTGGAAAAAAAATACTTTAAAGTTCATATGGAACCAAAAATGAGCCCACATTGCCAAATCAATCCTAAGCCAAAAGAACAAAGCTGGAGGCATCACACTACCTGACTTCAAACTATACTACAAGGCTACAGTAACCAAAACAGCATGGTACTGGTACCAAAACAGAGATATAGACTAATGGAACAGAACAGAGGCCTCAGAAATAATGCTGCATATCTACAACCATCTGATCTTTGACAAGGCTGACAAAAACAAGAAATGGGAAAAGGATTCCCTATTTAATAAATGGTGCTGGGAAAACTGGCTGGCCATATGTAGAAAGCTGAAACTGGATCCCTTCCTTACACCTTATACAAAAATTAATTCAAGATGGATTAAAGACCTAAATGTTAGACCTAAAACCATAAAAACCCTAGAAGAAAACCTAGGCAATACCATTCAGGACATAGGCATGGGGAAGGACACCAAAAGCGATGGCAACAAAAGCCAAAATTGACAAATGGGATCGAAGTAAACTAAACCTACAGAATGGGAGAAAATTTTTGCAAACTACTCATCTGAAAAAGGGATAATATCCAGAATCTACAATGAACTGAAACAAATTTACAAGAAAAAAACAAACAACCCCATCAACAAGTGGGCAAAGGATATGAACAGACACTTCTCAAAAGAAGACATTTAAGCAGCCAAAAGACACATGAAAAAATGCTCATCATCACTGGCCATCAGAGAAATGCAAATCAAAACCACAATGAGATACCATCTCACACCAGTTAGAATGGCGATCATTAAAAAGTCAGGAAACAACAGGTGCTGGAGAGGATGTGGAGAAATAGGAACACTTTTACACTGTTGGTGGGACTGTAAACTAGTTCAACCATTGTGGAAGTCAATGTGGCGATTCCTCAGGGATCTAGAACTAGAAATACCATTTGACCCAGCCATCCCATTACTGGGTATATACCCAAAGGATTATAAATCTTGCTGCTATAAAGACACATGTGCATGTATGTTTATTGTGGCACTGTTCACAATAGCAAAGACTTGGAACCAACCCAAACGTCCAACAATGATAGACTGGATTAAGAAAATGTGGTACATATTCACCATGGAATACTATGCAGCCATAAAAAAGGATGAATTCATGTCCCTTGTAGGGACATGGATGAAGCTGGAAACCATCATTCTCAGCAAACTATCGCAAGGACAAAAAACCAAACACCGCATGTTCTCACTCATAGGTGGGAATTGAACAATGAGAACACATGGACACAAGAAGGGGAACATCACACACTGGGGCCTGTTGTGGAGTGGGGGTAGGGGGGAGGGATAGCATTTGGAGATATACCTAATGTTAAATGACGATTTACTGGGTGCAGCACACCAACATGGCACATGTATACGTATGTAACTAACCTGCACGTTGTGCACATGTACCCTAAAACTTAAAGTATAATAAAAAAAATTATGTGTAAAAATTAAGATAAATTGAAAAGTAGAAAAAATTATCCTATATTATTTTGAGTTGCTGTGATATATATGAATATAGATATGTTTAATAATAACATAAGTATTTTACTGCTTCATCCTGTTTTCAACTTTATATGATCTTCCTTTAGAAAATCTACTTTTTTATATATACTTTAAGTTCTGGGATACATGTGCAGAATGTGCAGATTTGTTACATAGGTATACATGTGCCATGGTGGTTTGCTGCACCCCTCAACCCAACATCGCCAGATATTGTGGGATCTGGCCAGCAGCCCTCAATGCAATGGGGATCTCTCTTTGTTCCCAGACAGATCGGCAGGTCGAGAAATAACAGACACACACAAGATAGTGAAAGCTGGGTCCAGGGGGGTCACCGCATTCTGGTCCCGCAGTACCAACAATGCACTGGATATACCAGCATTTATTACTAAGTTTAGTGAGGGCGCGGGTAGGTTAGTGAGGGATTTAGGGTCATTTCATTATGAGGTGAGATGGTCACATGGGGATGAAGTAATTCTTTAACATAACATCTGTATGCAGAAGTACAGTATACAGAGGTAAGAATTTACAATATAGTGTGTGCATCAGTAATTTCTAACAGAGCCTTAAAACAGAAACAGTCTTTCTATAACCTATGATTAGCAAGATATTAATCAGCAGTAACAGTTGCAGCAAAAGCTGGTTACAAACAATCCATAGAAGCAGGACGTGAAGCTAGACAACCAGTTAGACCAGAAATTCTCAGAAGGGAGTATGCCTTAACCCTAAACAGACCTAGAAGACCCGTGGCAAGATGAGGGCGTTTATAGCCCTATCTTATCCATATGGACAGGTGCCCCTCATGCGTCCGTTTATAAACTCTCCACAAGGGTCGCATTCCATTCCCAGAGCTATGAACATCTGCTTTTCTGGGATAGGAATCTTGGTGATGTGAAACCTCCCTGACTGCACGTCCATTCATAGGCTCTCTGCAGGCGGAAGCACATCACGCGCTGTTGGCTCATTCTGGCAGTCCAACCTGGCATTGTCTTAACACAATCCTGCATGCAATTTTGTATTTACAATAATCAGGAGCATTTCATCTTTTATTCCGTAGCAATAGTTTCACGGGGTCTGCCTACATCAACCCATCATCCACATTAGGTATTTCTCCTAATGCTATCCCTCCTCTAGCCCCCCAGCCCACAACAGGCCCCCAAGTGTGTGAGGTTCCCCTCCCTGTGTCCATGTGTTCTCATTGTTCAGCTCTCACTTATGAGTGAGAACATGTGGTGTTCGGTTTTCTGTTCTTGTGTTAGTTTGCTGAGAATGATGCTTTCCAGCTTCAACCATGTCCCCACAAAGAACATGAACTCATCCTTTTTTATGGCTGCACAGTATTCCATGGTGTATATGTGCCACATTTTTTAAATCCAGTCTATCATTGATGGGCATTTGGGTTGGTTCCAAGTCTTTGCTATTGTGAATAGTGCTACAATAAACATACATGTGCATGTGTCTTTATAGTAAAATGATTTATAATCCTTTGGGTATATCCTAGTAATGGGATCACTGGGTCAAATGGTACTTCTGGTTCTAGATCCTTGAGAAATCGCCATTCTGCCTTCCACAATGGTTGAACTAATTTACACTGCCGCCAACAGTGTAAAAGTGTTCCTATTTCTCCACATTCTCTCCAGCACCTGTTGCTTCCTGACTTTTTAATGATCACCATTCTAACTGGTGTAAGATGGTACCTCATTGCGGTTTTGATTTGCCTTTAACTAATGACCAGTGATGATGAGCTTTTTTTCATACAATTGTTGGCCGCATAAATATCTTCTTTTGAGAAGTGTCTGTTCATATCCTTTGCCTACTTTTTGATAGGGTTGTTTGTTTTTTTACTGTAAATTTGTTTAAGTCCTTTGTAGATTCTGGATATTAGCCCTTTGTCAGATGGATAGATTGCAAAAATATTCTCCCATTCTGTAGGCTGCCTGTTCACTCTGATGATACTTTCTTTTGTTGTGCAGACAATCTTTAGTTTAATTTGATCCCATTTGTCAATTTTGGCTTTTGTTGCCATTGCTTTTAGTGTTTTCGTCATGAAGTCTTTGCCCATGCCTATGTCCTGAATGGTATTGCCTAGGTTTTCTTCTAGGGCTTTAGGGTTTTAGGTCTTACATTTAAGTTTTTAATCCATCTTGAGTTAATTTTTGTATAAAGTGTAAGGATGGGGTCCATTTTCAGCTTTCCACATATGGCTAGCCAATTTTCCCAACACCATTTATTAAATAGGGAACCCTTTTCCCATTTCTTGTTTTTGTCAGGTTTGCCTAAGATCAGATGGTTATAGATGTGTGGTGTTTCTGAGGCCTCCGTTAAGTTCCATTGGTCTATATATCTGTTTTGGCACCAGTACAAGTTACCTCACTTGTATGTTTATTGCAGCACTTCTCACAATAGGAGATATGAAATACACTTAAGAGTCCATCAGTGGATTATTGGATAAAGAAAATTTGTACACATAAACACAGACCATGCAATACTACTCAGGAATAAAAAAGAATAAAATTATGTCTTTTAGGTGGAACTGGAGGCCATTATACCAAGTGACAAAGTCAGAGACAGAAAGTCAAATATTGCATATTTTCACTTGTAAGTAAGAACTAAATAATGTTAACAGTGAACATAGAGCGTGGAATAATAGGCATAGGAGACTTGGAAAGTGGGGAGGTGACGAATGAGAAATTACCAACGGGTACAAAGTACAGTATTTGGGTGATGTTTACACTGAAGGAGTGAACTTCACCACTGTGCAATATAGCCATATAATAATACCACACTTGTGCTCCCTAAAACTATAAAAATAAAATTAAAAAGAAGCAGAATATGAAAAAATTGACATAATTCATAGAAAACACTAAATATTAATTTGAGGTACTTAGTTTATTAAAAGAAGATCTTTTCATACTTGTTTCCTGGTAATGAAAAAAGTGGATATACATTTTTCCTTGTGATATTATAATTGTAAAAGATGTCACTACAATGATAAATATAAATGGAAAGTATAATTTTCCAATTAATCATTTATAAGAATTGTTTTCCATAAGGAACTACAAAGGGACTAAAACATATAATTTTTTTGGTTCTAACACGACATGTAGTATTTATAAACATGTAGAACTATCCAGTTCTGGAGAAAGAAAGTCATTCTTTAAAATATGTTTTCAAATTGCTACAATTTTAAAAAAAGGTGGAAAGACAATTTTCAATACTTTGCATTATATTTTGTTTGAAAGATATACTCTAGGCTAATTTTCAACTCATAGAGAAGGTTTATATTTTACTTTTTAGAATTTTGGAAATAATAACTGCACCATTACATTGTAAGTTTTTGATCCCTTCTTTCATATGGTCTTGGCTCCTGAGATACCTAGATGCTCAGACATCTATTAAGCAAATAAATAAATAAATACCATACACTTCAAGGTGAGACAAAGCTTTGTAAAATGGTCTTCATAAGTAGCACTACACAAGAAAATAATATAAAGCATTCTATCAAATTTCCCAATAATAACAAGAAGTCAAATAGATTTCATCGCTTCCTTCCTTTCTTCCTATTTTCCTTCCTTCTCTTTCTTTTCTTCTCTCTCCAGCCTTACTTCTGTTTTATTTTTTCCCTCTTTCCTCCCTTTTTCCTCTCTCTTTTCTCCCATTTTTCTCCTTATGTATTCTACAATGAATTTATGCTGCATAATTTTACAGTTCATATAGCTTGTAACTTTGTAAAAATGAAGAAAACATGTAGGAGAGCTCTGATAGAGACACAGCCCTCAAAAGCAAACAATCTTCTTTTTTCCTTTCTTTTTTTTTTTTTTTTTTTTAAGTCTTGGGCCATAGTTACAACAAAACTGTACCAGTGGTGGTTTATAAAATGCAAGAGAAAGAAAGATGTTTGGCATTTTAGGGACACATTTGCTAGTACCATCCTGATTTTTAACATGAGGTTACAAAAAAAACCTATTTTACAATAAAACCTGCAGAAGTCACTAGTCTGATATTTAATATTAGAGAAGTATTAAGATTTGGAAAATTATAGAATTTCAAGTATAAAGATAATGACAGAGAAAATTAGGAAAGGATAATAGGAGGAGTAAGAACTTGCTTTTATGCATCTGAGTTTAGAAAATCCATCTGAATTTTTTTAAAAAGACATGAAGTAAACGCAATGAGATATGGAAGATCCTATGTGTCTTGTGAAATAATGGCTCATAAGACACTGAGGAAATGGTCAATAGACAAATCTAAGCACCCATCTCAGCTTGCACAGTACATTGCTGGTTTCTATGGGTTGTCCTAGACCTTTGTTTTCATTTTAATTGCTTTAGTGTTTACTACTTTTAAGAATGTCCTGATTTTGATGCTATAGTCACCTGATGAATACAGAACCCCCACAAGGAGGATGAAGAAAGTAGATAATATCTAAGATCAATAAAAAGACTGAAACTTTTGTTCTATAACTGAACATGATTGTTTAAAAATTATGTATAATAACAAAATTAGCCAGGCGTGGTGGCACATGCCTGTCTGTAATCCCAGCTACGCTACTCAGGAGGCTGAGGCAGGAGAATTGCTTGAACCTGGGAAGCAGAGGTTGTGGTGAGCCAAGATTGTGCCATTGCACTCCAGGCTGGGCAACAAGAGCAAAACTCTATCTCAAAAAAAATAAAAAATAAAAAAATATATATATATGTATAATAAAACATATGCACTCTGTGTAAACTAGTATGTAAATATTTTTAAATTTAGTAACTTATGGAGTTTAATCATATTGCCATTTGATTCTTCATATTTTTTTTTTGTCTCTTGAAGTTGTGATGCAATTTAATATTTTTGGTGATTGTTAAAAGAAACTTCTTCAGGTATATTTTTAAAAAGACAAATATTTGCATTTAAACTAAATTACTCCTTCTTGATTATAATTTCTAAGCAGAGATCGCCCTTGTGTAATCAGTAGTATAGAAGAGGCTCAGGTAACTAAAACTATAAATATAGTTAACAGTGTACTTTCTGGGGTCAGCCTGCCTGACTTGGAATCCCAGACCCAACACTGACTGGTTATTTCACCTTCTGCAAATTGATGCACTTGTGCAAAATGATGTTAACTAGCAACGAGGTAAACCATTGGCTTGTTGTAGATTTAAAAAAAAAAAAAAAACTTTGTAAAACCCTTAGCCATTTATATTTGTCCATAGTTTGCTCTGCTATGTTAGATTGGGAAGACAAAGGAAAAATGTTCATTTTCTTCCTTCAAAGTGTTTAATAATCTCAAGAAAAGACAGTATTGCGTAAGAAAAATTATTAATAAAATATAAAATTTGATATAATGACTAAGAGAGAAAATTCCTTAATCTCCCTGATAAAGTCATAAAAATTTTCAAAATGAAGGAGAATTTGAGGTGAGACCAGAAAGCTTAGGAAGAGTTGAAAGAGAGCAAAGGCAATAATTTGTGAAAAATATACATTTTACAAGAAAACTACATATCATTCAGTGATACTGAAATATAATATGCAAGGGCAAATTAGGTGTCCATGTACATAGAAATAAGTGTTCATTTAGTTTCTTAAATGATTAGGCACCACTGAGAAATTTTCAACAGCGAGTTATGTGTGGAATATTTTAAAAATATCAACCTCTGGGAAAAGTTAAATATAGATTGCAAAATTAGAAGAGACATGGTATTTATCACCCTTGTTTGGCAAGATTATGACAAATAATATTACAGTAGGATTAATAATATTTCCCGAAACTCTCAGAAGGTATATGGCTAGTGAAGAGTAGAATTAAAACACAATTCTGTTATTAAACTGCAGGTGTTCTGAGAAATTCTACTGCATTTATTGAATTTTAATTTGATATATACCTCAGATCCAATGTAATCTTTTGATTTTTCTTCATATATCATGTGATAAAAGAGTTTTCAGTGGGAAAATAGGAGAATGGTAGAAGTCAGTGAAGGAAAAAGAGAGAGGAAGTTGGGTCACAGCCATATTAAGCTGATGCCTATTAAATATCAAGGAGTCAATCATTGTTATTTTTTTTTTTACTTTGCCTACCTTAGCAATGTTATATCTATATGTAACTATTTCTACAATAACATTTTATAAATACATGCACATACAGGTAATATGGCTCTGTCAAAAAGTTGATTTTTTTGTTGACTTTTATAGAAAACTATCTTTATAGTCAAGTATGAAGCTATATAAACATAGTTATATAATTACAAAGTAGCAATTTGGCTATTCTATATCCTGTGAATATTCAAACACATACAGAAACATACATGGTTCTGTATTTATAGTGTTAAGAAATGACAAGTTAACTGCAACTTGAGCATTTTACTCAAATTTGGTCTAAAATAATTATTCTAAAGCCGTATGAAATCCCAGAATTCAGCTGGGATTAGAGGGAATGATCTAGCTTGTTTTGGCAGGAGAATATATAAAAGGTAATATAATAGGTCTCTTTCCTACTCAGCAATCCTATAAAACAAAACAAAAGTTCCTCTGCCTGCAGTAGTGTATACTGAGATGAAAGTTAAAGATTCTGTTGTATTCTTCAAAACGACTGATCTTGGTTCCTGAGCCAGTATGCCTGTTCTGATTAAACATTTTCTGGCAAATTCTCAGAGATATATTTAAAAATGTCATACTCCTGGTTAAAAAAAATCTGTATTATTTATCTAAACATCTTTATTTACTTTACCATATTTGGTTAAAAATGTAAACTGATTCTAAAATACAATTCGTTGTTTTCAAATTATATTACCTAAATATGCTATAAGAATATTAGACAACTTTTGAAGTTAGTAACTTCGAGCTGATTTTAATCATTTATTTTGAGAGTAAACTATTTGTACATTTATTCATTTTGTGTGGTTGTTCTTAACGGTAGTCTTGATTTTCTTAGTTGCTATCATTATTACAAACCTCTTTCTCTGTTTTTGATAAGCTAGATTATTAAATGAAGGAAAATTAATGGAAAATATAGGGGAAGCTAAGATATGGAAACCTCTTCAAATTCTCAATTATATAACAATACATAAAAGTATCGTATAAATTATCTCACTGGTAAGGTAAGGCGGTACTTGAGTCTTGCACATCCTAAAAATGAAATGCTATTTTAATAATGATAAATAATTCAAAGATCACTTAAGCCATTGTAAATAAAATATTAAACTTTGAAATGTATTTTATGCACTGCTTAAATAAATTGACAAAAATATTTCTAAAGAAAATTTAAAAATCATCCAGAGTACTTAGAGTGTAGAATTCTTAATCTATATTGTTTCTTCTGCTAAAGGTAAGAGCTATCGAATAGCATATGTCTTCACTTTTAAAATACACCATATTGAATTCTGTAAGCTTAGTCTGGTTTTTGTTAGGATACCAAAGGCATGAAAAGATTCGATAGTTAAAAAATTCAAACTGCAGCCAGATTACATATATTCTGAGGCATGTATATCTCACATATATGTTTTTGTGTGTTTGTGTGTGTGTGTACACATATACATATAATGATAATTCACTTTGGATAAAAAGGTATGTTTTGTCTCTTAGTTTTAAAATTATTATAATTAACAGTCTAATAATTAAAATGATATAGATTAAAAAGTCAATTCTCAGTGTATATCATAACGAATAGCTACTTCATCATGTATACTTTAGACATTTTAAAACTATTCTTCACAAGCTAATGTGAAATTCATGTTAAGTGCATATTCACATCAAAGTCACTTTTACATTAAGTGTTTACTGCAGGCATGCTTTACAATGTCCACATGATCATCAAGGCTTGAGTGACCATTTGAGGTTTCATCTTGCATTCTATTTGTGCAGGTAGTCTTTCAGTAGATCTGACATTGATCATCTGTCAATTTGATTTTCTAATCTTATGAGACTCATTGTAAACAAAATAACTAAATGTATGCAGGCCCACAGAGAAAACACAACAGCTCTGCATTTTATTTCTGACAGAAGCATTCTTTTCAATCAAGCTTAAAAATAGAAGAAAATAACAGTATGTTTTCACTTTATGAATTCTTACCAAACGATTGGGTCCGAGGCATTTAGAATTTAAAAACAACTAATCTAAATAGAAAGAGCCTGGCTTGTGAAGTTTTAAAATTAGACGATGGAACCAATAACGAGCATATGTTAATGAAGACATGAAATCATCACGGCATTACATCTATCTTAGTCAGAGCCTGTCAGTATGCCCATTGCCTAATAAATTGTATCCCTAGTCACAGTTTATAAGACACAAGAAGACATTTTCAGAACCTACAAATGAAGCCAATATGTGACATTTCAAAACTGCTGTACTACCACAATTAGTGGAAAATATACAAAGTAACAAATACGACATTTATTTCACAAAGAGTGGCTTAAAGACTTGCCTAGCTCATCAGCTTCCTATGAAACATTGTCAGGTAATATTTATGTGTGTCAGGGTGGGAGGGAGACGGATATGGTTTAGGTCAGACGCTGGGGGAAGGAATGTATTATTTCAAATACGGTATCTGGGAAATACTTATTTGTCTGACAAAGGTGCATCATTATACATAAAGAATAGTTGCCTTCCTAAGCACTGACACAAATAAATATTTATCTTCCGTACATAGATGACTTGCATTAAAATTTGTAAATTTTTTATTGCTTAATTGAGAAGCATAATCTCTGAATATTAATAGACAACATGGAGAGTTAATGAAGTTTTTGTCATAATGCAGTACATTTCTCCAACATTCTCTAATAAAAGTATTTGTAGCTAACTCAAAATACTGGTGGGTCCTATATAATTAATGCATCGATTAAATATGAACTACAGGTTATATCAATAATATAAGACTTTTTCTTGAATTATAAATCAAAAAGAGATAAGAGCTGATGAAAACTATCCACATTTACTTTTAGGATGCTAAAAAAATGAAGAATGCATCTAGAAATTGTATTCTATGTAACTCAGATGGATTCTATCTAACTCAGATGTTATATCACATCTTCCTCTGAGTGTTCTCCCACAGCTGTGGTGTGCACTACTGTTTTTTGTGAATTTCAAGGCACCTTCTGGTTTCTATTACATGAATTGCTAAAACATTTACCATGCTGCAGGTGTCTATACATGTTATCCTTTGACTTCCTCATATACCTTTCCTTACTAAAATTCTACAACTTTGCATCAGCACAGTGTTTGCTAGTTAATTCTTGAAGTTTTTTCTAAAATTCCCCACAGAAACCATTAAACATGGATTGTTTCACCATAAGAAAAACTAAAGAATCAATCTTCCTGATATTATTCAAAACAGATTACTTTTTCCTACAATTACTTTTCTAAACTGATACAACATAATGTGTATTTCTTCAAACTAGTCAATAAGTAGAACAAAATCACCAGTTTTCACATTTGATTCAGCACGAGCTTTATTTGCTATTCATGAATTGGATTTACTTCCTATATAAATATTTCTCCCAATCTTTCTTACCATTTGGTCAATGTTAACAATGGCACTTGATTCTTGCCAAGTGAAAATAATTTTAATTTATTATCTTCTACTTGCATACGTATTCGTTTTAGATCACGTCTATATTTCTGTTTTATTATTTTTACTATGGCTAGATATGATATTTTGGATGCTTATTTGTGCTTATAATGAAGTTGAAGTTTCACATAATTTTATTCCTCTTTACAAGTATTTTTATCAAAATTATGAAACCCTATTTTACATATAATTGAAAATTGAAACTAATTATGAATTTCCCTTACTTAATAAATATTTGTCAAATTTTGCTCAATATTATGGTTCATACTGGGCAATGGTAATTACAAAACAAAAAAAAAAGAACGATGCAGACCTTGCTTTGAACAAGTTCACAATGTGGTAGGGAAACCAATAAGCCAACAGATGTAAGTAGTAGTCATGTACCCAATTTCACAGAAAAAGTCTGACATGAACATGTATAGTAGCTGCAGAATAACCTGGTGTGTGTAATCTATTCATCCTAAGGCAAGGAGATTTTTAACTGATGGGGTACTTATCAGCAAACAGTCGAGAGAGAAGACATGAACATTCTTCTGTAAAATGACAGGAAGCCCAAGTGCTGGAATGACTGGACAAAGGAGGTGAATGGTGAAATATGGAAAGGGACAGTCCTAATCAAAGTCTTATTAATGAAGGCCATGAACCAACCAAGCTGAGTTTGGATTATTCCCTTAAAACTATATTAAAACAGGCCGGGCGCGGTGGCTCACGCCTGTAATCCCAGCACTTTGGGAGGCCGAGGCGGGCGAATCATGAGGTCAGGAGATCGAGACCATCCTGGCTAACATGGTGAAACCCTGTCTCTACTAAAAATACAAAAAAATTAGCCGGGCGTGGTGGCGGGCGCCTGTAGTCCCAGCTAGTCGGGAGGCTGAGGCAGGAGAATGGCGTGAACCCGGGAGGCAGAGCTTGCAGTGAGCGGAGATCGTGCCACTGCACTCCAGGCTGGGTGACAGAGCGAGACTCCGTCTCAAAAAAAAAAAAAAAAAAAAAAAAACTATATTAAAACATCACAAGGATTTATGAAAGGGAGTTAAATAATCACATTTTGACTTTTGGAGAGATCATAGCTGCTCACAAGACTGGACCCTGGGAGACCAATTAGGAAACCATGGCAATAATCCAAGTGAGAGACAATCAGAACTTCAACTAAGACCGTGACAGTGACATGGAAAAAAGAGGGAAGCATTTTAATGATAGATATTAGGAAACAGAGTCTGCAAGAGCTTTTGACAATTGGGAAACAGAAAAGCCCAGGAATCAAGTAGGCTACACCAGAAATATCCAAAGGCCAAATGGGGATACTGTGGCTACATATATGTTAAATATTCTATGTTACACTTTAATTATTTTAACTTTTAAAACTTTTAATTTGTATGGTAGTATTGATCTAAATGTTTTTCTTTATCCTACTTCTTTAATATTTTAAATTAAACCTCTGGTGCGTAATATTGAGCTATAATATTTACTATATTCATTAAGCCTCAGGCATACTTTTTTACATTTGCCGTGTCAGAAATTGGAATGCACCTTATATTTCTTCTTACTGTTAACATATTACCAGCAACACAAAGCCCATTTCATGTTTGGGTTTTCCCTTATTTCTTAATCCCCATCCCATCTGCTTCCTTTCACAGGAAACCATTTGTAATGTGTTTGCCGTACGTTCTTCAGCATAGATATAGTCTTGTAAAATATAGTGTGGGTTTTGTGTATTTTCAGTTCCATTAAGGGTTTTGTAAATCCCATCTCTGTCCTACTTTACTCATCCAGCCTTGTTTGGGGACCAATCTATGTCACATATCTGGTTTATTGTTTCATATTGCTATACAGCATCTCATAGTGTGATTTACTGTATTTTATTAATCCATTCTTCTGGAGATGGATACACAGGTTGCTTTCAACTCCCTAATGCCATATACACCATCCTTGTATAGATCTTTGCAATAATTTCTCAGGAGTATATATCCAGGAGAGGAATACTTGCCTGTACTTTTTAAATATATTTCTTCCTCAAAGAGTATTGGAAAATTTATTTGACTATGAATATAAAAATATTTAAAATTATTCTCCCATTATTGAATAAATGGGATTGTGGCAACAGGCTACCTATGTGCATAAAATAACACGAATGTCTATTTTACTCCTTATGCCAAAATAAATCACAGATGGATAAGTATTCAAACACTAAGAAGAAATGAAGTCATATTAATACTGGGAGAAATAACATGGGAAAATTGAAAATAAATCTGTCCATTTTTCTAGGTTCCCTATTATCATCCTCCTTCACGCTTGTTCATCTCTCTGCAGTCAAGTCTCCTCACACAACTGCCAGATGATTATTTTAAAACAACTGACCAATAATACTCTTGCACTGTTATAAAAATCTCAGTTTAAACATTAACTTGCACTGCAATGCTTCCTGACTACCCAGTCTAAAATACCCTCCCAGGCAATGTCTTCTCACCCTATTTGAATTATCTGGATAGCTTTTATTATTTATTATTTTCTTCCTTATTTATTTCTTGATTTTTTTTCTCACACCTCTCCAGAAATAAAAGCTTAACAAAATTCACAATCTTTGTTGTCTAATTTGTCACTGTTTTCTCAGGACCTAGAATGTGCAGGGAATATTAACAGTGCATTTGTTGCATAAATAAATAAAAGGGCATATACATATATATAGAGAGAGTTTTTTGGAACAGGAAGCTTTGTAATATCACAGTTTAGAAATATTTCATAAGGCATTGAGTTGCATTCTTTTAATACTTGAACATATTTCTCTGACTTCAGTGCAAACCCACAAAGGTAGTATCGGACATTTAACCATCAAGCTGAAGCCAAACTTATATTTAACGAGCTAATATCAACATGTTGTGCCCTATGGGGTAATGACTGACATGTGCTTAACAAATCGTCACCACCACAGGGTAGGGAGATGATTAGGATCAGTTTTCTGCCCTACCATATCCTCAATGGCTCTCAGTTATTTCTTCCGTGTTTTGGAGAGAATATTTCTCTACTTTGTTTCTTTGACTATTTTCTTTCAAAAATAAAAGAATCTTTTTTTCTCATTACATTTTATTTGTAATTGCTGAAGCTACTTAATTTTACATTAATTTTCAATGTTTCAAAATAAGTTGTAGTTTATGAACAACAAAAAAGCTCACTAAGCTTAATGACAGTATTTACACTAATTTGATGATTGGCTTACTTATTTTCTGTAATAACCAAGAAAACAGATTAGCTTATAAAGCATATAAGGTGGCCAGGTGCGGTGGCTCATGCCTTGTAATTCCAGCATTTTGGGGGACCCAGGTGAGTAAATTACTTGAGGTCAGGATTTTGAGACCAGCCTAGCCAACACGGTGAAAGCTTGTCTCTACTAAAAATACAAAAATTAGCCAGGCGTGGTAGCACTTGCCTGTATTCCCAACTAATTGGGATGCAGAGGCAGGAGAATCGCTTGACCCTGGGAGGTGGTGGTTGCAGTGAGAAGAGACAGCACCAGGGCATTCCTGCCTGGGTGACAGAGTGAGACTCCACGTCAAAAAATAAATAAATAATAAATAAATAAATAATAAAATAAAATATATAAGGCAGTGTATAAATACATAGATACATATGTGTGTGTGTGGGTGTTTGTGTGTGCCTGTGTGTGCGTGTGTGCATAATGATGATTAATTTTATGTGTCAACTTGGCTAGGCCATGGTGCCATAGTATCCACTTTTTGGTCAAACATCAGTTTAGATGTTGCTATGAAGGTAATTTTTTAGATGTTATTAACATTTAAATCAGGAGACTTAGAGTAAAGAAAAGTGCCTTCCACAATGTGAGTGAGCTTCATCCAATAACTTTAAGGCTTTTAGAGAAAAGACTGAGGTCCTCTAAAAAGAAAAGCATTCAGCCTCTAAACTGCCTTCCAATTAGAGCTGCAGCATTAACCCTTCCCTAGATCTTCAGCAGCTGGCCATGCAAATATCAGACATGCCAACCTGCACAATCCCATGAACCAATTCCTTAAAGTGCCTCTCTCTCTCTGTCTCTCCTCTATCTCTCTCTCTCTATATATATACTGTTACTCTCTCTATATATATGTATTGTTACTCTGGAGAATTCTGACTAATGCATGCACATATACAGGCAGATAGATACATAAACCATAAACAGATACATAGAAAGATACATGGATAGATAGATATATAATAAGAAAATATGTGAGCAATAATTCTTTTTTTATAAATTTAACTATGTTAGTTGCTAATTTCCAGACTTATATCCTAAAATGTAAATAATACATTGAATAAACCACTTTAATGGTTGCATATTAACTTATAAAATAGATTTTTGCTAATATTACATTTTTATTGAGAATATATTCCTATCAAAAATTTGAATGAGCAAAGTGCATTGGTTCCATGTGTATTTATTTTCTACATATAAAAATTGAATTTATATTTATATTTAAAAATATTAAAATTATCTATTATCTATATTTACATTGAAGTTACAACTCTATGAATGATAAATTAATACTTTGGAAGTAATGAAAGAAAGCTCCTAGAAGAAATCTGATATTTTGAACTAACAATGTGAGAAATTCACATTATCTCAATTAAAGTATTTTATTGATATTTGGGACATCTAATGACCTTCTCTCCAAGACCTTGAGGACAGAAAAATGAATTGTTTCTGAAAATTAACTGTAAATTCATTATGTAATGGATTGGCATGGTGCTACAAAGTCACTTCAAAGATGCTGTCCAAGACTGTCAGATCTGGCTGTAATCTGTTAAACACAGTATTAACATGTCTGGAGAACGACTGAGCGAATTGAAAGTGGGGGTCGCTGAGAAGGAAGGTGAAAAGAAGAGCCATGGAAGCAATATTAGGCAGAGTCTTCAAGCAGATTCTAAGGAGGAGTAAACGCTGATATAAAAAACTCCACTGGAACAAGCCCAGTATTAAATATGCCACCACTGTGCATGTGGATGCTTTGAACTTTCTTTGTGTAATAAAGCATGCAAATCACATAACTCATAATCCTTAATATGTATTGAGTTCTCAGCTCACAAATACAGTGCATAGCACATTACATACAATAGTTTATGTAAGCTTCAACTCAACTAGATGAGATGTGTACTATTGTCTCCATTTCATAAAAATTATCTCCATTTTATGAAAATTCACTTGCTAAAAACTGCAAAGTTAATGAGTAACAGACTAATAGTCTTAAACCACTGTGTCTGACTTCAGAGCCCATGCTCGATTACTCTGCTAAGCTAATATTTTCCAGATTCAGATTCTAAATTCAACAAGTTCAGTTACAATTATAATTCAGGTTTACATTTACTTGTTCAAAGAAAGAATGTGTGCTTGATGGAGAGTATATCTCTTCAGACTTTGATGTGGTTCTATTTCTTGTCACAAAATAATAGACTGTTATACATTTATAACTTAATATTCGGTTATATTTGATTTCTCAGTAGCTTTCCCAAATAGATAAAATATAATAACTCAAGAATAGACACCTTCTATTCATCAGAAATTTTAGTTAGCACCATGAATTTAGTAAATACTATTTTGATCATTAGAAAATGCACTTGGTGAAAATAAGCATAACACTGAAAGTAAAATGCACCAAACCTTACACAGCAGTGATGCACTCACTCTCTGAGTTCTCTTGGGGCAAAACCCAGAATATGACCTGAGGCACATTTTCTAATCTTTGTTTCTTCCAGTTCATTCAAAGTTGAAAATTGTTTTCATCTTTATTCAGCATTATTTTCCAGGGTTATCTTCTGAAGTGTTAGTTTTATTATATTTAAAAATAGAATTTCCTCTGGGAACACATGGTTTTCTTAAAATGGTATTTTTTTCACTTTTTTATTTCAATGATAGAGAAGTGTAATAGGCATTTATTTATATCAGTTGGGCTAGCAAAAACTTGTATGATTAGACCACCTTCTCCAGTGTTATATGGGCACCATAAAAGTTACTATGAGCCTCTGCAAGCATACATGATTTTCATTAAGATTATTAAGTGGTTAGCTCCTGACAACTTAGGGCACTCACAGGGAGCAATTAACTCTTTGGCTACTGCCATTTAGGGCAGGAGCTTGGCCAGAGTCAAAGAATCTGGGCTGCATAGAGGAAAATTTATTCATGGAGCAGCTAAGCATAGCTTAACGTACTCAGGGCTTGTTGGCCACCCTTCCCCAGAAATGTTTTATTTCTTTTGGTCCTTTCCTCTTTTTTGTTTTCCCTAAGTTTTTTGTTATTGTTTTAAAGATGCTACAGAAGGGGAAAGTGGAACCAAGTAAGTCAATACAGTTTTGTTTTGTTTTTTAACGCATTAACTCAATATTTGTTGAATGCCTCCAAATCAAGGCTTGGTATTAGGTTTTAGTAATTCCATGGAAAAAGGGGCATTGTGCTTATTCCCTATGCTCACAAGTTATTCTCTAGTTGGTTAAAATGCAGAAAATTATACAAATTTTGTCTGTCATTTATTTATGGCAACTGCAAACATGGAAGTTTCTTCATGGTTTGGCATTTGAGTTCTTGAATATTGAGTATAGTCAGGATTAAATCAATATCAATGCCCTTTTCCTTTCTAAATAGTAAAATGTTGCAAACATTTTTGTTTAAAAGGGCCATTTTTAGGCCAATTAAAACTATTAAGTTAAAAACTGAGAATTATTTTTAAAAAATCTGAATTATTAACAATTGCAATTTTTGTTGATAATAAAAACACACTTTATCCACTAGTAATATTGTATTTCCTTAATCCTGCTAATAATATAAACTGAATCATTATTACCTAAATATTAAGTTTTAAATAAAAACTTGTTAGAATTGATAATATAAATATAGTATGAAAATTAACTGCAAAGTAATATATATCAAAATTAATGGCAAAATAATATATATCAATATGTTGCATGCTTCAATATTCATTTCATATGTATTTTAGAAATCACATTTAATAATTTTAGGCAGAATGATTGATAGACATATACTCATATGATATAGATGATATGAGTATATATATGAGCATATATACACATGAGTATATATATCAATAGTTTCTAATATTATGCAATTAACTTTGAAAATAACATTAACCTTTAAGGTAAGCAATGGTCCCTTATTTTAATATTGTATACTAAGTAATTACAAATAGTTCAACATACCTGATTTCTGAAATATTTAAATAATAAAGATTTTTAAGCTCATTAAAGTCATAAGAATTAAACAGAACTAATAAATCTTATTGAACCATAAATCTCCTAAATAATAAGACTGGTAGTGTATTAATAAGGTAAGAGTGTTGGACCTGTGAAACACCTTTACGTTTTCTTTTTAAAAATAAATAATCACACTACAGCTGTTAAAAAATCATCATATCTGATCAGTTGTAAGAAAACTTAAACAACCACGTACAAAGGAAACACTATCCTCACAGTGCCATTGAAGAGGAAAAAAATGTTGATCATTAACATGAGAATAAACATCACCTCCAACAAAACTAGTATGAGTATCTCTAGATTTATGGCCAAAATCTTTTCTAAACAAACTGAAAAATCATACAATTTCATTTGCAATTGACATTTCATGGCCCTATGTATATGCTAGCAGACAATGGGGGAAAACCTCAAAAATCGAAAGCAATCATAAGTACTTCATGACTAAATAAAGATTCTCTAGCAATCCCCCAAATCCTGTATCTCAAAGGAGGTGAAAATTATATTATTTGTATATCCAAGGAATATAAAGCACATGTTGTTTTTGATTCAAACAGAATGAATATCCTTAAGCAAATGACAGAGAAAATTTAGTGAAAATGTTTTATATATAATAAGTAAAAATAACTGGTTAAAGAAATGCTTATGATTATAATTAGAGATCTTTGTAGTTGTGTTCAGCTAGGCAGTGTTTTTATCTAGTAATAGAAAAATAATTTCTAGGTGGAATCAAGTATAACTTACCCCAACCATTAGCCAAGGAGGCTTGCAACCCTAGGAGGCTTCTGATTACGGTTAATGTCTGGACATGCCTAGCGTGTATCACTTTGTTTCTCAGAAGCCTAATCCAATAAAGCTTCTTTTATATGTGTCTTCTGAAACATAGCACTAAAAGCCTTAACCTTTTGCAGTACAAAGGTAAAGTCATTAAAGCCATGTGCAGGCTGACATAAGGCCTGGCCTTTATTTAGCTAATCTGGAGATGAATATAGCAAATCACCATCTGGAGCTTTGTGTAAATCCATAAGCAAAATACTTCTCTACAATTTAATTATTCCTTATTTTATTTGTAACTCACCATTTTCATTGCTAACTTCATAGGTCTCAGTCTGAATGCTTTCTTGTGTTTTTAGAGATTATTACAATTTTTTTTTTGTTTTTGTAAAAAACTCATATACAGACAGTGGGAGAAAGAAAAAAGCTTTCTGTTGCTAGGGAAACCTGATGCTGAAGGTTTAGTAACAACCTCAGATGGTGTTGTATAGCAAAGGCTGTCAGCATAAGAGAACAGAAAGAGGGCCTGCTGATGCGAAGAACGATTTTAGTATGTTACTTATTGATTCTATGATGATCTTTATAAAAGAAGTAATACAGAATCTACCTTTTCCTAAAGAAGAATTATGGGACTATAATAAAGAAAGCCTCAAGAAATTTATACCACTGAAAGGTAGAATAAATGAAATCTCACCTCTATCTGTGAGATTATAGAAAGAACAGTTACTGAGTGCATTAGAATTTTGTCAAATTAAGATTCTATTAGTATATCCTGAACCCACAGTCCCAGTTGGACACTGGCTTTAATACTATCCTTATATTTTCAAATTACTAAATTAAACATAAATCATTTGTATTACACTTGATCCTGCAGTAAGTGTGTGAAACATATATTTAATCACTCTCCTAATGAAAGAAAAGTAATATTTTAAAATATTAAAATCACACTGTAGAAAAAAATTTCTATTTGTAGCAATAAATAAAATTATACATGTGTATATGTTTTATGATTTATTCTTTATATAATTTATATAATATTTACACATTTTTCATGAATCAATGTGCTACTAACATTTTGTTATCTAAAGGGAAGAACTTTTATATGTTGACTCATGGAAATGAGTTATTCATAATTATACACTGTGGCCTCCCAAGACAATTTACGCTGAACATAACATAGTATCATGATGCACATATCCATTTATATCTGGAAAACAGTTCATCTACTATATCTTGCTTCTTGTAAGACTTAGAAGTTTCCTCCCTTTCTCCCTCTCTTCCTTTCTCTCCCTTCTTTATCTTTCTCCCTCTGTTACTTTCTCTTCCTTCTTCCTTCCTTTCTTCACTTTTCTTTCTCTTGCATCTCCCCCTATTATTTCTTTCATCCTTTCTTATATCTTTCCCCTACCTTCCCCCTCCCTTCCTCCTCCTCCTTCCCTTCCCTTCCCCCTCCCTGTGTCCCTCCTCTTCCCCTCCTCTTCCCTTCCCCTCCCTCCCTTTTCCCCTCCTCCTCCTCTCCCCTCCCCCCTCCTCTCCTTGCCCTCTGCTCCCCCTTCTCCACTCCCCCCATTCCCTTCCCTTCCCTCTTTGCTCCCTCTCCCCCTTCCCTTCCTCCTCCTTTTCCCCATTCCCTTCCCTTCCCTCTCTGCTCCCCTCCCCTTCCCTCCTCCCTCCCCTCCACTCCTCTCCACTCCCCTCTCCCTTCCATCCCCCTTCCCTTACATCTCTCCTCCTCCCTTCCATCACCCTCCCGTCCCCTCTCCCATTCCCCTCCCCCTCCCCTCCCTCTCCCTTCCACCCCTCCCCTTCTGTCCTCTCCCCCCCCTCCCTTTCTCATCCCTTTAATTCTTGCTTTCTTTTTCTTTTTTTTTTTTTTTGGAAGCCAAGTCTCACTCTGTCATCCAGGCTGGAGTGCAATGGCACTCCAGGGATCGTAGCTCACTGCAACCTTTGCCTTCCGGGTTCAAGTGATTTTCCTGCCTCAGCACCCCCAGTAGCTGGGATTACAGGCACCCCCTCCACCATGCCCAGCCAATTTTTGTATTTTTAGTAGAGATGAGTTTTCATCATGTTGGCCAGGCTGGTCTCAATCTCCTGCCCTCAAGTGATCCACCTACCTTGGCTTCCCAAAGTGCTAGGATTACAGGTGTGAGCCACCGCGCCTGGCCCCTTTCCTTCTTACTTTCAAGTGACATTTGATAGAAGAACAAAAAGAAACAAAGACAGAAATTTAACTATGCAGACATCGGTGGAAGAGATATTTAGGTAGAGAAAACACTGATTAAAAATATCCTAAAGCAGGCCAGAGATGACTGGAGTAGAAACTATAATTGGGAGCATGACAGGACAAGAGGCTAAAGCAGTAAAGGATAAATCAGAATGTGAATGTCTCCCTATTGGCCATTTTATGGACTTTGGCTTTTACTTTAAATCTCATAGAAAGTTCATGGAGGTTTTGAGAAGAGAAAATACATGACTTGACTAACAATTAAAGGATTAATTTTGCGGTGACTAGAGTGAGAGGTTGGTGGAAATGGGAAGATGCTAAACCAGATTAGAGGCTATTATATTCATTCAGACACAGGCTAGCAGTGGCTTGGATCAAGTTGGCAGTAATGAAGGTAATGTTGGATTCTGGATATAGTTTTGAACAGAATTTAGAGAAGAGATGATGAATTTGTTGTGAGGTATGAAAGAAATATATCCCAAATCTGTAAAAATTTAAATTTAAGACCTCAAACTATAAGAATCTTAGAAAATAATCTAGGGAACACCATTCTGGACATTATCCTTGGGAAAGAATTTATGACTAGGACCTCAAAAGCAATTGCAATAAAACCAAAAATTCACAAGTGGGACCTAATTAAACTAAAGAGGTTCTACATAGCAAAAGAAACTATCATCATGGTAAACAAATACCCTACAGAATGGGAGAAAATATTTGCAAGAAAAAAAAAAAACGCAACAAAAAAGACATAAACAGACACTTCTCAAAAGAAGACATCCCAGTGGCCAAGAAACATGAAAAAATGCTCAACATCAGAGAAAAACTGATCATCAGAGAAATGCACATCAAAACCATGCAATATCCTCACATACCAGTAAGAATGGCTATTATTAAAAAGTAAAAAAAAAAAAAACAGATGTTGGTGAGGCTGCTGAGAAAGAAAGAATGCTTACACACTCCTGGTGGGAATGTAAATTAGTTCAGCCACTGTGGAAAGCAGTGTGGAGATTTCTCAAAGAACTGAGAACTACCATTTGAACCAGCAATCCCATTACTGTATATATATCCCAAAGCACATAAATTTTTCCACTAAAAAGACACAAGCACTTACATGTTCATTTCAGCACTATTCACAATAGCAAAGATATAAACTCAACATAGGTGCCCATCAATGGTGGACTGGATAAACAAAACGTAGTAGTTATTCAACATGGAATACTATGAATCTATAAAAAAAGAAGAAATTAATGTCCTTTGCAGTAGGATAGATGCATCTGGAGGACATTATCCTAAGTGAATTAACGAGAAACAGAAAACCAAATTCTTCATGTTCTCATTTATTAGTGGGAGCTCAACATTGGGCACTCATGGACATAAAGATGGCAACAACAGACGCTGGACACTACTAGAGGAGGAAGGAAGAGAGAGAGAGAGGCAAGAGTTGAAAGACTGTTGAATTCTTTTAGTGCCGGGGTGATGGGATCATTCTTACACCCAACCTCAGCTTCACACAATGTGCCCAGGTAACAAGCCTGCACATGTGCTCCCAAATCTAAAATAAAAGTTGAAAAAAAAGAAAGATATCACAAATTTAACCACTGCGCATTATTTTCACTGCTGTCACTCTGGCTGAAACCATCACCATTTATCCCAAGAGTTAATGCAAACGTCCTTTAATAGATCTTTTTGTTTCCACTCTTGCCCACCTCCCTCTTCCCATGTTTATTTTTGGGAGAATAGCCACAGTGATCCTTTTAAAAATTAAGATATATAGTGGCAAATATTTAACCAAATTTTGTATTATTTTTTATTTCACTTAGAATAACAGACCAGAGTGGTTACAAGGACCTGAAAGGCCTTTCAGGATCTGTCCTTCTGTTACCTCTTTGATTTTCTTTTATTGATTACCCTGTTCCAAACACATTAGTTTTCATGCTTTTTCTCAGAGATAGCAAGGAGGTTAGCGCTTTAGCTTCTTTAGTGTTCCCCTTCTTAGAACACTTTTCTCTCAGCTACCTTGACTCAGGTAAACTGTCTCACCTTCAAGTGTATGAGTGCCCTTACCTTCCAGAATATACCTACCTTAACCTTGCCACTTAATTTTACAAGTTACTATTCTCATTCCAATCTGCTCCACCCAGCTCCATTTTTGTTTGTACAGAATATGTCACCATTGAGATACTATTTAACTGCTTATTAATATGTGTACTGTATAGTTTTCATCCTTCCTCTTGATTGAAATCACTAAGAGTCTAGGGATCTTTGTTTTTTTCCATCATGTACAATTGCATAGGACACTGTCCCACTTAGTAAGTGCTCAATAATTTTTTGCTGAATAAGCAAATGAAATAATAATGACTAAGTCTATGACCTGGGATAATAGAGAAGTCAAGTTTTATTTTACAAGTGGGGGAAGAATATGAAAAAAGTAGGTTTGGGGTGGGGTGGGAAAGGAGGTCAAGTATTAGCACTTGGCATTTTAAGTTTGAGAGGACTATTAAACATGCAAGTGATGAAACTATGAAAGTAGGTAAATAGCCAATGTTTGTAGTTCAGAGAAGGGATCCAAGTTAGACATAAACATTTGGGAGTTGTTAACACACAGATTATTCATAAAGCTATGGGACTAGAGGAGATTTCAGCAAAATTTAGAGATGTTGGAAATGAAGAAGAATCAGCAGATGAAAGTGCAAAGGAATACTAGCTGAAGTGGAAGAAAAAATAAGAGAATGAGGTCCCTGAGGCAGGTGAAGTAAACATTTCAAGAAGGGAATGATAATCTGTGCCATATACTGCAGACAGATATTTAGAACACTGGACTACAGGCATTTTCAATATATAACTTGCATATGTAGCTGAAGAAATGAGAATCATCATTCTCCCACAACAGTCCAAGGACGTGTGATCCAGTAGGCTACCTCAGGCTTCTCTGTTTCTGGCATCCAGCGTGACTATCTCTACTTTATACCTCAATACCTATGAGGTAAGGAAGGTATCTCTCAAAATTCTTGATGAGAGTAGGACCACAGATCCTTCCTAGTCTGAGTTCCCTATACTTAAAAAGGAAGTTATTTTCTTCCCCAACTCTCTCAGCCTGAAAGCAAGGGGAAAAAAATTCTTCCTCAAACTCCATTCTCTCTAAATACCCTCTCCTTTATTCATGGATTGAGTTTTTGGAACTATAAGCTCCCTCATCCCCAAAATTGCCAGTTGCCATTGAGTACTTTGTTTTCTTTAAGTGCCATTAGAGAAATTATTAGTGAGAGAATACATTATAAAATTATTAGAGACTATATAAGACAATTATTATTGTCCCACATATTCCATTCAAGATGGTAAAGGAAAGTAACAGTATTAAAGTTTGTTAATATGTCTTCTGGGAAAATTAGCCCACCCTGTCACAGATTCGATGTGCTGCACAGATCTATCCCGTGGGGTTTGGGAATTTAGACAGCTAAACCTAATTTTTCATGCCAATGTTGTTCTCTTTTCAGATCTTTAAAAATAGTCACTCATATCTGAAAAAACTTCTCACTTATTTGTAGGGAATTTTCTTATCTCATGGCTCCTGACAACAATAATCAGACAATAAATTATTTTCCCAATATCTGGGTTTTGCAGAGACAATAGAGTGTAGTTGAAAACTTGGGCCCTAGAATCACAGGACCTCAAATCAAACTTGGCTGGTCCAGTTACCAGTTATGCGACCTTGAGAAAATTACAAATTTATATATCTGTAAAACTAATATCATAGTAATGCCTATATTTGAGGACTGTTAAGAGGATCACAAATCATGCATGTGACACACATGCATGCATGCACACACACACACACAAGAGAGAGAAAGCACATGAAAAGTATTTAGCACTTGGCTAGTGCTCCACATATGTTAACTGGTATTATTTCAAATTCATGGCCAGAGGTGCACATCACCATGACAGATGCTCTTATGGTTTCGTGACAGTGTGAGATGAAAATATGTCTCTATGTTTTTTCTGTCTTCATTTACTCTTTGCTCTTGATATTTTGCAATTGTTTCTTGAACAAAATCAAAGGCATGGACCTATACGCAAACACACACACACACACACACACACACACACTCTTAAACACTCTTACAATACTTACAAACATTTACCGAACAGATACATAAGGGGAATTCAAGAATGTGACTCTACACACAACAAAATTAGCCATTTAAAACATTAGGGATCCCATTTCTTTCTTGAGTGTTTCAAACATCACCATTCTTCAGTGGAAACTTTACCTAAACTTTCCACATTCTCCAAAATAAAGAATCTTTTTGTTATCAGAAAAAGTTCAAATTCTCAAAAGAAATAAAATACTGTAAATAACAACAAGCACGGTAAAAAACTAAAACAATAGACCATTCTGTCATTTAAAGTACTAAAAATATTTAAGTATGACTATTTCAATTCTCAGAGCAACTCATTGCAGAGATTTATAATGTTTTATAGCTCATGAAACTTTATTCCCCGCAACCTGCCCACTAGCAATTTTAATTCCTTCCATCCCTGGGGATTTCCCCTTTGACACTGTTAAATCCCTTGAGTTAGTAATGTTTGCCTCCTTTTTCTTAAAACTTGAAAGACTGGTGCCCCTTTTTCTTGTTATCTGCTTACTTTAAAATCTCTTTCAAACTCTCTTATGCTTCCACAATCCCCCTAAAATAACTTTCTTGATGGTGACCAGTAACCTCCTTATTACTACTTCAAAAGGCCTCATAATTCTTTTTCTAACATCTAGGATTAAATTTCAGTTCTATCTTTTACTAGTTATATGACCTTTGTCAATCCATTAAAATTATATGAATCTCAGATTTTTACTTCTCAGATTGGTTGTAAAGAGAAGACTCTAAAACATTTCTGAAAGCACCCAATATAATAAATGGGATTTTTCTTTCTCACTCTGTTCATTTTGTCTTCCTTTTGCCTGTTTAAATCTTTAGACTCTGGCCACTTCCCTGAAAATTTCGGTTTGTGTGGCTACTATACTACACTCTGTTACACCTTTGTCTTTCTTTCGCCGATCCAGCCCCGCGCTCCTGACTCCAAAGTGCGGTGTACTGACATTTGATGGTACTGACTTGGCCCTCAGTTCTGCCCAGTCTCTCTCTCTCATCAACCTATTTTATGTTTGTGGAAATCTAGCCTTGTAATTTCAAATTTTACATGGCTCTAATGAACACCTAAATTTCTTCCTAATTTTTAGTAGAGATAAGGTATTGCCATGTTGCCCAGGGTGGTCTCAAACCCGTGGGCTCAAGTGATCCTCCTGCCTTGGCCTTCCAAATGTTGGGACTACAGGCATGAGCCACCACATCCAGCCTCTAATGAATACTTTTATCTTTATTTAAAAATATCAATTCTTCATTTGTTTTCTAAGTACCTACTCACAGGCTCTCATCATGTCCCTGATTTCAGTCCTCTTCTTGCATGACTGTAGGCATAAAAATGACCAAGAAGGTCATTTGATCAATGCTACCTATTGGGGAGTTTTTTCTGAACTGGTTATTTTTCCAGTACCTGAACTTCAAATCAATTCCACATTTAAAAAAAAAAAAATAGCTCTGATGAGGTCAGAGCTTCCCACATCACAAACTTCTACTGGCCTGTGCAAACTAATATTAGTTGTGGTATAACTTAATCACATGCTCACTACTTGTTAGTTTGTTCAAGATGCTATAACAAAGTACCATATACTGGGTAGCTTATAAACAACAGAAATTTATTTCTTGCAGTTCTGGAGACAGAGAAGTCCAAGATCAGGGCTCTAGCAGCTACAATGTCTGGTGACGACTAGTTTCCTGGTTCAAAGAAAGTGCCTTTTTGCTGCATCCACACATGATGGAAGGGGAGAACTCTAGTCTCTTTAGCCTCTTGTAAGCCCACTAATCATATTCATGAGGGCTCTGCCCTATGATCTAATTACCTCCTCAGGACTCTATCTCTTAATACCAATATCTTGGGGGTTAGAATCTCAACATATACATTTTTTTCGGTGGGGAGTTGGGCATAAATATTCAGACCCTAGCAATACCTTTTGTTCTATTAAATAATATACAAACATTATCATATTTGTATACAAATGGAACCTAATGAAGTGGGTATTTTCTCCCATTGTTCAAATGAATGTCAGGAAAATTAAGCAGAATGTGTAAAGATCACAAAACTTTTGATTCATTCTCAGAAACTGTAGGCTTCAAAATCCGTACACTTCCTACTGAACTATATCACTTCCAAGACAAGGTAGGAATCCACTTCCAGATTCCTTAACAGAGCTACTTCATTATCTGGCCTCAAATCTTGTTTCAGTTTTATTTTCTACTCATCTTCACATACTATATTATTCTTAAGTAAAACTGACCAATTTATATCACATTCTGGAAAAGACAAAACTGTAGCAACAGAAAATAGAGGGGTTAACTACCAACAGATGAGGGAAACTTTTTGAGGTCTTGGAAATGCTCTATATCTAGATTGGGCGGTGTTTGTGCAACTATATGTGTTTGTCAAAACTTGTGTACTATACACTAAAGATGATAAATTTTTCTGGATATAAATTATAACTTGATAAATACTTTTTAAAGCTGCCTAAAACATCATTGTATTCGCCAGGGTTCTCCAGAGAAACAGAACCATAGAAGGAGCTCTCTCTATATATATATTTACATATACACACACACACACACACACACACACACATATACACACACACAGTATATATATACACACATGTATATACACATATATATACACACATATATACACACACACATGTACATATATAGTACAGTACCATATAGACAGATAATGTTTTATATATGTGAGATATATATATATACACACACACATGCACACACACACTGAGCGTAATAAATATACTCAAAAGAGTTTTATTCTGTTCTCTCACTTGATTGTAACAGTCAACACAGAAGACTTCTGTGACCAAATGTACACGGGTTTCTCTTCACCACCAAGCAATCAATTCTGCGGTGGACACCAACTGGGTGACCTCCAATTCAATTCTGACACTATATACCTAAAGACAGCATCAGATCCCACCGGTTGAGAGTTCAGTTTCACAAAACTGCCCTTCACCCTCTTCCCCACTTCACACACCAGTAACAAGGCTGGGCCTCCAGATCTTCTGACCAATAAGCTTCAAGTTGGGGTTCCCACAACCCTCTCTTTGGCTTCAATTAATTTGCTGCAATGGCTGACAGAGCTCAGGGAAACATTTATGTTTATCAGTTTATTATGAAGGGTATTACAAAGGATACAGATAAAGAAATGATTAGAGTAAGTTATCAGGAAATAGGTGAAGAGCTTTCATGACCTCACTCAGTGTACCACCCTCCAGAAACTGCCACATGTTCAGCTGTCCAGAAGCTCTCCAAACCCAGGTTTGGGAGTTTTATGGAAGCTTCATCACATAAGCATGATTGACAACCATGTAGAAATGTGATTGGAAAAAAGAGGTGTGATCTAACACTAATAGACCACATGGGGAAACCCAGCAAGGCCTCTCTGTTCAGATTTTTCTTCATCTCTCTGTGCAGCACTCATTCATCCAGAATATGGGGCAGGATGCCTTCTGAGATGAGGGGCTTAAGATTACATTCCTGCCTTTGGCAGATGAAAGTGAGGCCCCTACACAGAGTCCTTACTGGGGCACTGCCTACTGGAGCTGTGAGAAGAGGGCCACCATCCTCCAGACCCCAGAATGGTAGATCCACTCACAGCTTCCACGGTGTGCCTGAAAAAGCCAGACACTCAATGCCAACCCATGAAAGCAGCTGAGAAAGGAGACAGACCCTGCAAAAGCCACAAGGATGAAGCTGCCCAAGGCTGTGGGAGCATACCTCTTGCATCAGTGTGACCTGGGCATGAGACATGGTATCAAAGGAGATCATTTTGGAGCTCTAAGATTTAACTGCACTGCTGGATTTCAGACTTGCATGGGGCCTGCAGCCTCTTTTTTGGCCAATTTCTCCCATTTGGAATGGCTGTATTTACCCAATGCCTGTACCATCACTGAACCTAGGAAGTATCTAACTAGCTTTTAATTTTTCAGGCTCATAGGCAGAAGGGACTTGCCTTGTCCAGGTGAAACTTTGGACTGTGGACTTTTGAGTTAATGCTGAAATGAGTTAAGATCTTGGAGGACTGTTGGGAAGGAATGATTTGTTTTGAAATGTGAGGACATGACATTTGGGAGGAGCCTGAGGTGCCATGATATGGTTTGGCTGTGTCCCCACCCAAATCTAATCTTGAATTTCTATGTGTTGTGGGAGGGACCTGGTGGGAGGTAACTGAATCATGGGGGCAGGTCTTTTTCATACTGTTCTTGTGATAGTGAATAAGTCTCACAAGATTTGATGGTTTTAAAAAGGGGAGTTTCCCTGCACAAGCTCTTTTCTCTTGTCTGCCACCATGTGAGACATGCCTTTTACTTTGCACCATGATTGTGATGCCTCCCTAGCCATGTGGAACTGTAAGCCTATTAAAACTCTTTCTTTTGTAAATTGCCCAGTCTCAGGTATATCTTTACCAGCAGCATGAAAACAAACTAATACAACTGCAAAGCCACCCTCCTTTTTAATTAGTTAAATTTTACATTTTCTAGGTCTAGACTTAGAATTACTGACTTCAACATTTGAAAATAACAATGATTCATTATCCATATATTAATAATCATGGCATTAAGAAGGATAATTTCAATAAAAATGCTATGACTAATTAAACCTCTCATTAATACCAGAAATAATTTGAAAAATTTTAAGTGTATTAAAAAGAAAAACAATAAGCAAAGGGTCAAGAGAAAAGAAAGAGAAGGACAAATAAAATGAATATTTTTGAGTACCTAATTTTTGTCACGCCTGATGTTAGCATTTTCACATAATATACAACTGTATTCTCACAATAGCAACTTTACAAAGTAAGTACAGTTATGCACCACATAATAAAATTTCAGTCAACAATATACTGCATATACAACGGTGATCTCATAAGTTTATAATGGAGCTAAAAAATTTAAATTACCTAGTGGCATCTTGGTGATTTTGATTCTGTGTAAGCCTAGACTAATGTGTGTGTTTCTTAGTTTTAAACAAAAATTTAAAAAGTAAAAATATATTAAAAATTAAAATTAGAGAAAAACATATAGAATAAGTATATGGAGAAATAAAACATTTTTGTATAACTGTACAATGTGTTTGTTTTAAGCTAAGTGTTGTTACCAGAGTCAAAAAGTTAAAAAAGAATTTAAAAGTTTATAAAGTAAAAATGTTACAGTAAGTTGAGGTTAATTTATTATTTAAAAAATCTTTTAAATTTACTGTAGTATAAGTATACAGTGTTTATAAAGTCTATAGTAGTGTACAATAATGTCCTAGGCCTTCACATTCACTCACCACACATTCACTGATTCACCCAGGGCAACTGCCAGTCCTATGAGTGCCGTTTATGGTAAGTGCCCTATACAGGTGTACTGTATTTTATATTTTATGCAATATTTTCAGTGTACTTTTTCATTTTTAGATAGGTGTTGGTAGACAAATAATTTATCATTGTGTTACAGTTGCCTACAATATTCATTATAGTAACATGTTGTACAGTTTTATAGCCTGTATTTATCAGATTCACATACACACTATTAAAATTGTGATTAGTTACACTGATATGGTTTGGTTCTGTGTCTCCACCCAAATCTCATCTTGAATTGTAATCCTCAAAATGCCCAAGTGTAGAGGGAGGAACCTGGTGGGAGGTGATTGGATCACGGGTACAGTTTCCCCCATACTGTTCTTGTTTTAGTGAGTTCTCACAAGATCTGATGGTTTCATGAGTTTGACAGTTCCTCCTTTAAACACTCTCTCTCTCTCTCCCTCCTGCGACCATGTGAGATGTGCCTACTTCCCCTTCTGCCATGATTGTATGTTTCCTGAGGCCTCCCTAGTCATGAGAAACTGTGTCAATTAAACCTCTTTCCTTTATAAATTATCGAGTCTTGGGCATTTCTTTACAGAAGTGTGAGAACAGACTATTACATACACCAATAATAAGCATGCATTTACATGGTGGTTTAGAAGTAAATAAAATTCATCTACAAATTAATTGTCTGTCAAATAAATGGGTAAACTTTAGAGGACATAAGTTTTATTATCTTCATATGGGAAATTGAGAGCTGTTTTAATAAGTGTGCATTTTTGGCATTTTCAGTAAAAAGGTTGTGACATCTTAACCTGATCATCCTTTCAGAGAAATAGAATGTCAGGGCAACATACCTAATAAACTTTTACTAAAGCTTCCATGTTGCCAAGAAAAACAACTATTTTACTTACTAAAAGAGAGTTACAGATTACTAATTAATGCAATGATTTAAATTAAAATTAAGCCAAAGTTGAAGTTTTAATAAACACAGTCTAAAAAACTGATTGATCAAGTTTTAGTAATTGCAAATTGCACCTTTTTTTATTACTTGTATATTCCACTACAGAATTTCATACTCAAATTCCAGTATCATTTTTATAAAGAAGTTAATTGACTGTACGCATGTCCTACTAAATATTAAGAATATATTTTTATTGTATTTAGGCAAAGTATATAGTGTTATCCATATTTTTGAAAACACATGATGTTCAATGCTTAAGTTAACTCTGACATCAAAAATGAGAATTATTCATTTAAATATTGTTACATTAATATTTTGCTTTGAGCATAAAAATAAGTATTAGGCAATTGCAACAACAAAAACTAATTTTTTAACAACATCGGTATTACTTGGGGGTACATACAAATAATACAAATCATAAATAAATGATTTTTTGCTGATTTAGAATGTACTGCTGTTTTTGTCATATGTAAATTTGGTCTTAGCTTTTTATTTCAAAAACAAATGCCAAAATCAGGGTTGTTTACATTTTTTATTTGAAATTGTGAATCAATTGCTTACCTATGAGAATAGTAAAAAAAAGGTTAAGAAAATTTCCACACAGAATGCAATACAGATATTTGTATAAGAATGGGTATTAAGCAGACAGATGAATGAACATTTCAAGTGAAATGATTTGATAAAGGCTTTTAAAAATAGACAATATTTGAAAGGTCCCTGTGAAATTTCACTGGAATTTATACACACACACACACACACACACACACACACACTTCTATGAAATAGTTTCCAAGTTTAATTATTTTCAGGCTTTTTGTTAAGATAACTTTTGAAAGATATCTGTTTTCTATTACTCTCTACCTATACACAGGAATAGCTATAGCTAGTAGTCATAATGATTAAACTTCAACAAAGATAAAACTGCATTATTTTTAGAACTAGATATCTAATAGTCATTCACTAATCTTAGTATAACATATTCATATATGTAATTGGAAACAAAATGTCTGTTGCCTCTGGGTACTAAGTTTCTTCAAAGTATTGCTATAACCATCTTCTTTTTTGTTTTATTATTATTATTTTAAATTTAACTTTTATTTTAAGTTCAGGCATACAAATGCAGGTTTGTTACATAGGTAACCTTGTGTCATGGAATTTGTTTTACAGATTATTTCATCATCCAGATATTAACCCTAGTACCCATTAGTTACTTTTCTTAATCCTCTCCCTCCTCCCACCCTCAACCTGCTGATCAACCCCAGTGTGTGTTGTTCCCCTCTATGTGTCCACGTGTTCTCATCATTTAGCTTGCACTTATAAATGAGAACATGTGGAATTTGGTTTTCCATTGCTACGCTAGTTTGCTAAGGATAATGGCCTCCAGATCATCCTTGTCCCTGCAAAGGACATGATCTTGTTCTTTTTTATGGCTGAATAGTACTCCATTGTATACATGTACCACATTTTCTTTATCCAGTGTATCATTGATGGGCATTTAGGTTGATTCCATGTCTTTGGTATTGTGACTAGTGATACAAAACATATGCGTTTATGTATCTTTATGATAGAATGATTTATATTCCTTTGGGTATATACCCAGTAATGGGATTGCTGGGTGGAATGGTATTTCTGTCTTTAGGTCTTTAAGGAATCACCATACTGACTTCCAAAATGGTTGAATTAATTTACACTCCCACCAACAGTGTATAAGTGTTTAATTTACACTCCCACCAACAGTGTATAAGTGTTCCTTTTTCTCTGTAATCTCACCAGTGTCTGTGTTTTTTTGACTTTGTAGCAATAGCCATTCTGACTGGTATAAGATGGTATCCCTCTTCTTTAGTAGTTAATTAAGACAACATGAATCCTCATATATTGAGAGAACAAGTATATTCCATAATTTATTCTTGGATTGTTGGGAGTGAGTCTACTATGATTCCTTATGTCTTTCTCCTGTAATCTTTAGCCTTTCACTTCCACCAAGTTCTGCATCTCTGCTCTTGACTCCTATTGGTGTTACATTTCCAGACAATATTGATCAGCAATAGATGTTACCCCAACTCCTGACTTTTCAAAATACCATTAAAATGAGGCTGTGGTATTTGTGGAATATTTTACTGACGATTTAAGGAAAATGATGAAAACTGATAGTATTGTACTGTATAAACAGCAACTCAGACCTGAATATTAGCCATTATTAAACTACACTTAATTAACCATTTACTACCATGAAATATTTCTTACTATAGCCTGCACTTGAAGCAACTGCTCCTGTCTCCTGCTTTACCCTTTACCACATTTTTAACTGTTCATAGATTATAAATTTTTCCTATATTTCTATGAAAAAAAGATTTTATTTTATCTACAGGCATCTAACTTAAGCCTTTTAGTATCTTCTACTTTCATTGGCAAACAGGAATTTTGTTAATTTTTTTCTATTTTTCTTACTCATTTTTTCTTACTATTTCAATTTCCTAGATAATATCAGTGAGTTGTGTTTGTCTTAAGTAGTTTACTGCCTTTTATATAATAAAATCCTTCTGAGCTGTATTAAATTTAATTCACTAAAAGCTAAGTAGTTATTCTAGACCTAAATTTTGAAAAGTGGGTATTCAAGTCAATGATGTTAAATATTTTATGTTAACTAGCCCAGATTCTCAAGTTTTGAGAATGACTTCACTGAGGAGATCATATATTTTTCATTCAGGTAATGATGACTAAGAGAAAGTTGTACTTAATAAAATTTACTTCACTGAGATAATACTTTAATGTATCTTATGTGTGACACTTTCTATAAGTATACTAAGATTGCAAGTACAAAATAAATGCTCTGCATTAAATATTGATCAAAGTATATTTCTATAAAAATGATAAAGGTAAGTTAAACATTATATTCATTCATAAAAATATCTTATTTCTAAAAATCATTGAAAAACTTTGTTTTATTTGGTCACATTATACTGTAAAGTATTGAATCACAGACATCTTGGTGGTCATAAGCGCCATCGACAGTTAAGGCTCATTACTCCAGTATTAATGGAGTAACTACTCTATTATAAGTATTTTTAGACCAGGCATAGTGGCTCATGCCTGTAATTCCAGCACTTCGGGAGGCCGAAGTGGGCAGATCACCTGAGGTCAGGAGTTCAAGACCAGTCTGGTCAACATGGTGAAACCCCATCTCTACTAAAAACATAAAAAGTAGCTGGGCATGGTGGCGCATGCTTATAGTCCCAGCTACTGGGGAGGCTGAGGCAGGAGAATCACTTGAATCTGGGAGGTGGAGGTTGCAGTAAGCCAAGATCGTGCCACCTCACTCCAGCCTGGGTGACAAAGCAAGATTGTCTCAAAAAAAAAATAAATAAGTATTTTTACTTATTAATATAAAAGGGAAATAATTAGAAGTATCTGTCTATTTTCATTGGAACAGGTTTTTTTTCTTTAATGAGAAATATGTGTTAAATAAAATTTTAGGTTCCTTTGGACTCTAGCCAGAATGCATTTATTTGCAATTTCCCAGCCATGCAAATACAAACCATATTCACAAGATCCTGAGGAAACTTTTTAATTTTTACTTCGAATACTTCCTTCTACCAAAAATAGAGACAACTTCTATCCTTTGTATCAAAAAATATGAAGTTTATATTTTCCTATTGTGTCAGGAATGTAATTAATTACACAGCTAGTTGTGTAATCTTCTTGATAAACTACAGATTCTCTACGAAACATAAACAGAAAAGTCAACAAGGATTTAATTAGACAATAATACTGAGAAAATTATTAAGCATCTTAAGTGAGTCCTGTTTATCTGTGAACTCATTCTTCATCCCCTTTTGTGATTTATTTTTACCATCCCAAGCCATCTCCCCGTTGTTGTCCTTGTGTAGCCTTGAGGTTGTTCCTAGTTATGCGTTCCCCTACTGAGGCACATGCATCCCAAGCAATTCTTCATACTCCAAATCTGTCTTTCTTTCTTTGCCTACATTAAAGCTAACAATAATAGGGCTTAGGTTAACAAAGCTTAACTTGTGTGCAACTAATTAATTATAGAAAAGTTTTTTCATAGCCAGATATGTATATATGTGCATAGGAGGATCTTTATTATTGGACTTCTTAGTACATTTTAATTTTAACAAAACATGCAATGAATTTGCCGAAATCTTGCAAAATAACAGCCTTGAAAAATGTAATAGGGATAACAGAATACCATTGCTAAGTTATTTCAGTTTTCCCATCTATATATGTGTCTTTATATTTAATTTTACCTTATCAGGAACAGTTCAGTTAAAACTTGTTTTTAGTATATTTTGGTGATTTTTAATGATATCATGAATACTTTCTTTTCTTTAATGGATAATCTGATAGTACAGTAAATACTGTTTAAACATCAGAACACAAATTATTTAAGGTAGAACTATTTGCACAAGTTGTTTCCATTACAATTTAATTCAAAAAGGTTCTCTGAACAAAGGTAAATTAACACGCAATATTTACAGGCAGAATAGCCTGAATATACGCCTAATTTTAGTTTCAAGCAGGTTCTTCTGCTCTTGTCATAGATTCAGAAAT
The DNA here is from genome assembly GCF_000001405.40 of Homo sapiens. Lineage (NCBI taxonomy): Eukaryota > Metazoa > Chordata > Mammalia > Primates > Hominidae > Homo > Homo sapiens. Next base: position 65,724,378 of record NC_000006.12, read on the forward strand.
TGAATTGTGTTTATCACTGTCATGCAGATGTGATGTACATTTATTTTTCTACTCTTCAGTGATATATAGGATAAATCATCGGGGCTACTGAAATGTCTGTTAGATATTAAATCACTGATGTCAGCTGCCAAGTCATCTCACTTAACTCAAAAGGAAAAACTCTGGCTCCTGACTTTTTTGTGTGTATTTTTGCTTCTTTAGCTAGTACCAACTAAATACCAACTGCCTGTATGTCCAAGGTGAGGAATACTATTTGTAAGGCACTGAGACTCATTAACTCATTATCACTTAGGCTATACATTACAGTTATGCATTCCTTCATTTCTTGAACTTAAAATGTTAAAGCCTGCAAGTCTCTCTTAAAACCCAAATTAATGTAATTTTTGTCTACCACCTGAATAGGTCTAATATATATGGTAATTTGGCTCAAACTAGTTGACAGAATTCATGTCAAGTTAAAATAATAAGAATGAATTTCACAATTAAATTTCCCCATTGACTACTTTAAATTTTAAATGCATTGATTTAAAATTACTTCATTACTTAGAGATACCTTATGCCCAGACTAACGTAATTTATGTACTATACTTCCAATATGCTTTGGTATACATTGACATTTAAAGACACAAATCTTTTAAAGTTGTACTCATAAGTTGCACGTATGAATATACTGTCAAGGCACTTCTCTTTTAAGATCAATTTCTCTTGGTTTTCATTTTTTCAGGGATTTAAATTTAGTTTTTAATGATTCTTGGAACATTTTTTATCTTACTGAAAACAATAAAGACTTCTGAACTTTGTTTCTCCAGAAATTTTAGACATTAATTTTTGACTACATTGATGCTGTTTTAGAAAATGTATTTTACACACCCACACACCCACATGCTCACACACATTCACTTTTTCCTTTTCTTTAGATTATTATGTTAAACTCCACAACAAAATTGCATTTTATCAACTATCTGTAAACTGTGCTATAGCTTTATATACCTATGCCAAAGCAAAACTTGCCCCCAAATTAGAGTGTTAAGGAAGGAAAATTAAAGTGTTAAGGAAGACTTTAGGCTATTTAAATACAGGAGAGACACCAGAATATAGTTTAATTCAGTTCTCCTAAAACTAAAGGAAGGAAGGTTTTTAATTTCTGGAGCGAATAGTGAGAAAGACTAGAGAATTTTGAGGGGGGACCAATGGAATGTGTGGACTGCCTTGAGTTATTCCTGAGTTTGCAAATGTTTTTCTCTGTGATTAGGGCATCGGTGCTCGCTAATCGGTGCCACCAGAGATTAGACAATTACCCTCCTTCAGAAACTGGGAAATAGGGCACAATCTTCTTTGGAGATTTCAAAGGGATGACTTTCAGGTCGTATAACAAGACATTCCTAGGTCATAAAACTGGCAAAAGGCTTTTAAGAAGATTTACTCCCAAAGAGGCAGATAAATAATTTACAGTTACAAGTTTTCTAAAGTAAATGCTCAAAGAAAAGGGACATCAGGGCCTAGAGTCAGAAAGAAATGCTTTTGAAGCATAGTCAAGTTAAGGGGAACACTAAGGTTGCCTTGGACAAATATAAAAAAAAGATTGTGATGGAATTCATCCTTATTTTATATTTTTGAGTAACTATTTCTCAGGTATAGAATTTTCAACTATGTCATGTAACTATTTTGCCTTACCCAATAACATATAAATTTCACAAAACAGAATTTGCTTCATTATATATTTTAAGCCCCTAGAATAATCTCTAACACATACTTAGATTTCAATAAATGTCTATCGAATAGATGAATTAATTAGAAACAATTTTTTATTATACTTTAAGTTCTGGGATACAGGGGCAGAACGTGCAGGTTTGTTACATAGGTACACACGTGCCATGGTGGTTTGCTGCACCCATCAACCTGTCATCTACATTAGGTATTTCTCCTAATGCTATATCTCCTCTAGCCCCCCCACCCCCTGACAGGCCCTGGTGTGTGATTTTCCCCTCCCTGTGTCCATGTATTCTCTTTGTTCAACTCCCACTTACGAGTGAGAACATGTGGTGTTTGATTTTCTGTTCCTGTGTTAGTATGCTGAGAATGATGGCTTCCAGCTTCATCCATGTCCCTGCAAAGGACATGAGCTCATCCTTTCTTTTTATGGCTGCATAGTATTCCATGGTGTTTATGTGCCACCTTTTCTTTATCCAGTCTATCATTGATGGGCATTTGGGTTGGTTCCAAGCCTTTGCTATTGTGAATAGTGCTGCAGTAAACATACGTGTGCATGTGTCTTTATAGTAGAATAATGTGTAATCATTTGGGTATATACCCAGTAATGGGATTGCTGGGTCAAATGGTATTTCTGGTTCTGTATCCTTAAGGAATCGCCATACTGTTTTCCACAATGGTTGAACTAATTTATACACCCACCAATAGTGTAAAAGCATTCCTACATCTCCACATTCTCTCCAGCATCTGTTGTTTCCTGACTTTTTAATGATCGCCATTCTAAATGGCATGAGATGGCATCTCATTGTGGTTTTGATTTGCATTTCTCTAATGACCAGGGATGATAAACTTCTTTTCATATGTTTGTTGGCCACATAAATGTCTTCTTTTGAGAAGTGTCTATTCATATCCTTTGCCCACTTTTTGATGGGATTTTTTTTTTCTTGTAAATTTGTTTAAGTTCCTTGTAGATTCTGGATATTATCCCTTTGTCAGATGGATAGATTGCAAAAATTTTCTCCCATTCTGTAGGTTGCCTGCTCACTCTAATGATAGTTTCTTTTGCTGTGCATAAGCTCTTTACTTTAATTAGATCCCGTTTGTCAATTTTGGCTTCAGTTGCCATTGCTTTTGATGTTTTGGTCATGAAGTCTCTGCCCATGCCTATGTCCTGAATGGTATTGCCTAGGTTTTCTTCTAAGGTTTTTATGGTTGTACGTCTTGCTTTTAAGTCTTTACTCCATCTCGAGTTAATTTTTGTGTAAGGTGTAAGGAAGGGGTCCAGTTTCAGTTTTCCGCATATGGCTAGAAACAATTTTATTCCAAATATTTTTGTAATTAAAAGAAACAAAAGACTTTGCAATTGTTCTCTGAGGGATGATATAGCCATTCAAGGTAATTTGTGCCACTAACACATGACTTTCATACTAAATAGTCAAGCAAAGTAAAGGCATTCAAAAATAGAAGAGTGACAGGACAAATAGAGGGTATTGCAGAATTTGTGAATAATATTGAATGTCAAAGTGTTATATCAGAACCCTAAAACAGTCTTATTTGTCTTCTCCATTTCAATTTTTCCTTATGCTATTTCCCACCAGACAGGAAGGATTATATCTTTAAAACTGAACTCTGGCCATATCATCTCCTGATTAAAATCCTTGAGACACACACACAAACACACATACACACACACACACACACACACACACAGAGCAAGATACTAATCTAAGCACTTCACATTCATTAACTCAAATATTCCTCAAAGCAAGCCTATGAAGTAGATGCTTATTATCCCCATATTTACAGGTGAGAAATCTGAGGTACAGAAAAGATAAATAACTTCCCCAAAGTTCAAATATCTAGTAAGTGTTACAAGCTAGGTTCTATTCACCAAGTCTGGTTTCAGTCCATGACCTTATCCCCTCTTCAAGCTGAATCTAATATCCCCATCTTGGCCTACACAGCTCCCCCTGACCTAGCCCCTGCCTAAGTTTCTGTCTATATCTCATTCAGTTCTTCCTCTTGTCTAGTGTGCTCCAGCCACTCCAGATTCCTCACCTTGCCACCTAAAGGGCTTAATGCTCTCCAACCACCCTTCTGCCCTGTACATGTTTTGGAGGCCTTCTCATTCATTAAGTCTCAGCCTAAGTATCTTCCCTTATCTCCTTATCCAAATACCTACTGAACTCCTCGTATCATTACTGCTCTCCCCTTCTTCTATCCATTTTCTTCATTCATCTTATCACAACTTGTAATTATATATTTGTTTATTTATTTATTTACTCTGATTCTTCTCTAGACTTTAAGCTCCATAAATACAGGAGACACGTCACCAACGTCTGCCTGGTTCTTAGCATTGTAGGACTTCAATAAATATTTATTCATTAAAGAAATAAAATATGTTTATAATTACAAGAAAATTTGTCAAGGTGTATTAATACATTCAAAAGTTATGTAAACTTAATCAGCAACAGTAGCAGGTTTTATTTTGTTTTCAATAAGACTACATTAGTCTGAAGGTACAGTTGAGGTTTTACAAAAAGCAATAAATATTTTCTAATATAGCATAGTAGCAACAGACTTCATTTAGTTCGAATTCTACCTCCAAAATGGTGGGGTTGAGAAAGGTAAATTCAGAATTTTCACATCCTCGTGGTCTCTTAGTTTCCATTGTACTTAGATAGAGTCCAGCAGCTTCTAAGTAGCTGGAGGCCTCCTACCACTGATGCTGGCACTACCAAGGACAAATGCCACATTGATATGACCCTGATGCCACCAAGACAAAGCTTCTCCAGGGCTGTTATTCTCACTTAGGCTACTGACTCACGATTGCTGTCTTATGTATCAGTGCCTGCACTGCTGTCTTAGGGATTCACTACTTCAGGCCCAGTTTATCTGCAACTTTAATATTCCCACTCCCCCTCCTTTGACAGTGAAACAGCAGCTGCTTTTACTCTTTTGTACTCTGGACCCTATAAAAAACCTTCCTGATCAGTTCAATAATTCAGGCCAGACAATATCTCACTGTAGCCCAAGGTTGTTTTTGTAGATCTTTTTGTTCTCCTTCTTCTGAAGGATTGACAGGAAGCAAATTGATCCTCTTGCTTTTTTCCCCATGGAGTAGAACTGAGTGAGTTCTAGAAAGGGAGGCTCAGCCTGGGGATAGCATACCCACTGCTGGGCGCCTGCCTCCTTCCCACCCCTTCGTCTGGATGGCTCCTTAACCCAGAGGAGTTAAGGAAGTTAAGCTGGCAAGTTTAAACTCTATTCTTTCTCTCTTGAAGTCTTTTGTTGCACAACCATAAACTAAATGTTCTGAGATTTTGACACTAATCATAACCTGGAAGATTTAAAGCTTCCTGAAAGAGATGAGGCTTAAGAAAAGGAAAGCCAAAGGGGAGGACGTCATTCTGAGCACAGACAATGACAAATTTTGAAATTAAAAAAAATGAGTGCACGTTATACTCATGTTATTAGAGCAGAGGTGGAAGAAAAATGAGGTAAACATAATGGGATCAAGTGAAGTGGGTGCATTTACCTTACCATAACTTACCAAACTCCATAAGGAGTTTGGATTTATGGATACAGTTTTACAAGAATTAAAGATTTTTAACAAGAGTTAAAGATGGCCGGGCGTGGTGGCTCATGCCTGTAATCCCAGCACTTTGGGAGGCCAAGGCAGGTGGATCACTAGAGGTCAGGAGTTCAAGACCAGCCTGACCATCATGGTGAAACCCTGTCTCTACTAAAAATATAAAAATTAGCTGGGTGTGGTGGTGGGTGCCTGTAATCTCAGCTACTCGGGAGGCAGATGCACGAGAGTTGCTTGAATCCAGGAGGCAGAGGTTGCAGTGAGCCAAGATCACACCACTTGACTCCAGCTTGGGTGACAGAGTGAAACTCCGTCTCAAAAAAAAAAAAAAAAAAAAAAAAAAACGGCTTTGCAATCAGACAGCTTCAGTTTGGATTTTGATTCCATGGCTTATTAGCTTTGTGACTTTGTCAAGACACTTAACCTTTATAAGGTTCAGTGTGTTCATATTGGTAATATTATAATATACACCTCAGATTGATATAAACATACATCAAAGCACTTATTGGGTTGTAAGTAGCAAAGCACACAAAGAGGCACCACTCCCTTTGTGCTCGCCACCACTGTTACCATTATCAGTGTTATTTAATCCAAAGAACAACTATATTCAGCCAAATAGGAGGGGGCACTCATGAGAAAGTCTCCAGTTTTACAATGTATTACATAGCAGATATTCAATAACCATTTAACAAGGAAACAAAAGTTATAGCATGTAGAGTAGGCTACTTGGGGAAAGTTTTGATAAGAAGACGACATCTATAATGTGATCTACAGTATTTTAAAAGCATGCACAGAATGTTGTGCTAAGCAACATAGCAACAGGCATTCATATCATTTTCTGTCTAATCCCTTGCTAGATGAGTGATGGATTAGAATTCAAATATGGCTGAAGACGGTCATTCCTGGCTACTTATTGTTTCTATATTCAGCAGTTAAAAGGTTAAAGCATTGTCCAAAAAAGCCAAAAACACCTAGCAGTATTGTCTCACTCTATCCAGTATTTTCAGTAAAGAAACTTTTGAATTGAGAAAAAATTTGAGAATCTACACATTTTTAAATGAAGACAATTAGTATTAAGACCTTACGAGCTTCACATTTTACAGAGTAAACCTAAATAAGCTAAAGTTGGCTTTTCTTAAACACCAAGATCCAAAAATTGTTGAGGAAGGGCTTCTCTTGTTTTTTGGTTTTAAATATACTGTGTAGGAGAGACAAGTGAAAGCACCTCAGAAGCTGCGTGGCCTGGAGAGTGGCACTTAAGTGTTGCCTATATCACTTCTCCAGGTCTCCTCTGCTAGAGATCTTTAGTTCAAAGGCAGACAAATGAGGTTACAATGCGCTTAGAGCTCCCCTGAAAGAATGCCCAATTTTACTATTTGTAGAGCTTTATGACCTCTCTATCAACAGGTAATTTTTCAGGGTTCCATTTAGGGGATAGGACTCATGGACAATATTTGACTCCATGACTGTAATAAAATAACAAGCATAAAGTTTACCTAAAAATATTTGAGTATTACTTTATTTAACAAAACAAAACTTCTAAGCTGAGTGTGAGTGACCTCTGTATATTCTCTTTTGGTCCCCATGAACTTGAAGTATTATGTATGTCAGGTAACAGAGGATGTCTGTCTAAAAGGGGAAAATGATTTTTATTTCCCGGTAGGAAATTCAGTTTGAACTGCCAAAATTTCCTAAAAGCTCAAAAGGAAACCCCATACAAAATCGATTTAAAACCATAGTAACACTCATAATGAAAAGATTATACTGGATCTAGGGTACTCCAACGAGCATTCCCACATGTGCTGTGCTGTATAGTACAAGCCTGGCCTTCTATGCCTGGGCCTTTTCAGACCACCTTATTTTAAATTCCCTGGACCTACTTTTCTATCCATTTTTTGTCACTGAACCTTTCTTTCTTGGATCCTACTGTCTTGGCTTCTCCTCGCGCAGTCTTATAATAGCTTATGCTTGATAACATGTTGCATTAAACAACAATAAAATGTAAGAGCATTATTGGATTGCTGTCTCTGCTGGGATGTTGCCTCTGAATAGCCTTTTGCAGCCATAGTGCTTGTTCTTTGAGACTCATTTACTGGTATTATGTATTTCAAATTTAGGTAATCAAAGATCACCATTACTCTATCTGTATGTGGAGATTAATTTTTTAAGATTAATATTGACATATAGGTATATATAGCTAAATGTAGACTCATCACTCACCTAACTTTGACCTCTAAGTAAATAAAAGTAATATATTTTGTTTTAATCTCTAGTCAGAAAATTGAAGTTGAAAATTCACCATACAAGAGTAGAGATTCAGAGCAACTGCATTTGATCAAGACTTTCAAGTGCTGAACTCAATCTTCCTCTCTTACTAATTTTGTGATCATTAATACCTCAAACTCTCTGTGACCCAGTTCTCTCACCTGAGAAAATAGGGATAAGAAAAACAAAAATAATAATCACTTTGAAGGGATAATATAAAAAATCTCAGAAGCATGCTTGTCACACAGTAGATACTCAAGAAATATAAACTATTATCATAAACAGAAATTACATCATTGGAGGCTGATAGGTACAGCTTTACTAACAAAGAGACCCTGCAAAAGTAGTCCTATTCATTTGACTTAGTATGAGTATTCATTCATACAGTGTTTCAGGTGCCATGCTATATGCTGAGATAGTAAATTGTTGTAGGAATGGCACAGTTCTGCCAAAAAGGTATGACAACTACTAGGAGGGGTGGCAGATATATAAACAGAAATTTTTAAGTGAGATTGACAGAGCACTTACAATGATCTGAGTTTTCAGGGAAGGTTTAATGAAGGGAATGTTACTTGAAATAAGTAATGAAGAATGAAAATTGGCAAGATAAATGAAGTAAGGGGGACTCTTCCAGGAAGAGAAAGTCACAAGCAAAGATCCAGTCGATAAAAAGTGGTATGTAAATGAACAGCATAAAGTTCAGTATTACTGGAGCAGATATCAGTGTAAATGTACACACAAAAAGAAATAGTGGTCAGGTTGTACACTCATTATATTAGTCAGTTTAGGCTGTTATAACAAAATTATCGTCTCAGAGTTTTGGAGGCTGGGAAATCAAAAATTAAGGGAATGATAGGTCTGGTGTTTGGTGAGAGCTTGCTTTCTGGCTTGTAGACCCCTCTAATACCTTCTTAAATACCTCTATACGAGAGCAAAACAAGAGGCAATGTTATGTCTCTATTTATAAGGGCAATAATCCCATCATGAGGCCCCACCCGCATGACTCAATTATCTCTCAAATATCTGACTTTCTAATACCATGTAATTAGGGGTTAAATACTAACGTATGTGTTTTAGGGGAAACCAAACATGCAATGCTTAACAAGTATTGATTTTCAGTTTTTTTTAAAAAAAAAACTCAAACTTTCTTCTTGTGAAAACTTGGTTTAACTCTACATAGTGGCAAATAAATTGTTCTGAAAGAGATATGATGAGATCTGAACAAAAGCAGTGGAAATAGAAATAAAGTGAAAAACATTAAACATTAAAAGAAATATTCAGAAAACATTTCTGTCAGAATGTATTATGCTATGGATACATGGAAAAAGAATATGAGATTTCATAGTTTAGCATTCTAGTTTACGTTGTGCATAAACAGTTATACCTCTATAACACATTATTAGAAGCAATCTAAGAAAGTTATGGATTCTGAACTCTGCAATGTGGTCTATGCAAAAGAAATTTGTGTATAAGTGTCTGAAAATTGAAGACAAAGACAAAAATAGAGACATTTGAAAATCTTTAAGAGTTAAAATAAATGCAGTGGAAAGAACTGTCAAGATTAGTATGCAGAGAGAAAAGCACCGGGGCAGGATCAAACAGAAAACCACAAAGTCCAAAGAAGAACATATTTAATTTACACAAAGGATGATAAGAACAGATGATCAGAACAGTAAAAAGAAACCCGGTGAAGGAAGATCAAAGATAGAACAGAAATTAATACAAAGTAGGTACGAACAGAGTCCAACACATCAAAGAATTTCAGCAAAATAAGGAGACTAAAATTTACCCATTAGATTTTGCAATTGGAAAGAAATTGGTGGGGCTGACCAGGAAGAATTAGTAATTAGTGGCAGGAGAAGACATGTGCTGGACTGATGTAGAAGGAGACACGGGTGAAGGCCAAATAAACTCATAGTATACAAACTGAGCTTTTATGAAACTTGGCTAATAATGAGAAGGAATGTATAAAAATATTTTGACAAAGGGGAATAAGAAAGACTTGATTATGTTTATTGACAAATAGTTAAGTTCATGGAGAGATACTGTAAGACAATAGATGAGATAACTGATGGAAGAAGCTCTTGGAGAAACAGGAAATAAGATTTTCCTCAGATAGAAGGAAAGGCTGTTTGTTCTATGAGATATAAGAATATTATAGATTTAGAAAAGTATGAAGGATCAAAGAATGGGTGTTTCCTCAAGGGGATAAAACAGATGATATGGTGGAATAATAGAGAAGCAAAAATATAGGGAGATGTGTCCTTTCCCTAGTGCATATTTTTGTTGAATTTGTCAAAGATCAGTTGATTATAGATGTGTGGCTTCATTTCTGGTTCTCTATTGTGCTCCATTTATCTACGTGTCTACTTTTATACCAGCACCATGCTATTTTGGTTGCCATAGCTTCGTATTATAATTTGAGGTCAGGTAATGTGATTCCTCCAGTGTTGTTAATTTTGATTACGATTGCTTTGACTATTCAGGCTCTTTTATCAGTTCCATATGAATTTTAGGATTGTTCTCTCAAATTCTGTGAAAAATGACATTGGTATTTTGATAGAGATTGTATTGAATGTGTATATTGCTTTGGGCAATACAGTCATTTTAACAGATATGAGTTCTTCAGATCCATTAGCATGAAATGTTTTTCCATTTGTTTGTATCATCTAAAATTTATTTCATCTTTGTTTTGTGATTTTCTTTGTAGAGATCTTTTATTTCTTTTGTTCAATACATTCCAGAGTATTTTATTAATTTTTAAAGCTATTATAAATGGTATTGTCTTCTTGATTTTGTTTTCAGCTTGATGTTTCTTCTATGCCAAGTTCATTGAGTTTTCTATCATGAAGGAAATGCTGTATTTTATCCAGTGTATTTTCTGTACCTATGAGATAATCACATGGTTTTTGTTTTTAACGTCAGTTTATGTGATGAATCACATTTATTGATTTGTATATACTGAACCATCCTTGCATCACTGGAATAAAACCCACTCAGTCAGGGTGTATTATCTTTTCAATGTGATTTTTAGATTTTGTTTGCTAGTATTTTGTTGAGAAATTTTGGAAAATTGGGTTGTCATATGCAGAAGAATAAAACTGGCCCCTATCTCTCACCATATAAAAAATCAACAGAAGATGAGTTAAAAACTTAAATGTGAGACCTGAAACGATAAAATACTACAAGAAAACTTAGGGGAAACACCTCTGGACATTGGTTTAGGAAATGAGTTCATGGCTAAGAACTAAAAGGCATCAGCAACAAAAATAAAAATAGACCAATGGGACTTATTTAAACCAAAAAGCTTCTGCACTGCAAAATAAAAATATAAATAGACAAATGGGACTTAGTTAAACTAAAAAGCTTTTGCACCACAAATAATAATTATTATCATTATAATTATCATTAATCATTATTATTATAAACAAAGTAAAGGGATAGCCTGCTGAGTGGGAGAAAATATTTGCAAACTCTGCATCTGACATAGGACTAATATCCAGAATTTACAGGTAACTCAACAACAATAAAAACACAAATAAACCCATTAAAAAGTGGGCAATGGACATAAATAGACATTTTTCAAAAGAAGATATACAGATTGCCAACAAGCATATGAAAAACAATGCTCAACATTACTCATTATCAGAGAAATGCAAATCAAAACCACAATGTGATGTAATCTTCTCCTGGACAGAATGGCTATTGTCAAAAGTCAAAAAATAAAAGATACTGGTGAGGATAATGAGGAAAGGGAACACTTAAACACTGTTGATGGGAATGTAAATTAGTGCAATATCCATGGAAAGCAGAAAGGAAAATATATCAACATATTAAAACTATATCTGCACTTATACGTTTATTGCAGCACTCTTCACAATAGTAAAGATAGAGAATCAATCTAAGCATCTATCAACAAATGACTGGATAAATAAAATGTGGTACATATACAGAATAAAACACTATTCAGCCATAAAAAGAATAAAATCATGTCTTTTGCAGCAATACGGATGGAACTAAAGGGTATTATCTTAAATGAAACAACTCTGAACCAGAATTTCAAATACCCCATGTTCCTATTTCTAAGTGGGAGCTAAATAATGTATTCACATGGAAATAGAGTCTAGAATAATAGTCCAAAGGAGAACCAGAAGGGTGGGAGAGTGAGGGTGTTGAGGAATGAGAAATTACCTAATGAATACAATGTACATTCTTTGGATGATGGTTACACTAAAAGCCCAGACTTCACCATCACACAAAACATGGAACAAAACTCGACTTGTACCCCTTAAATTTACATCAATGAAAAGCATACAGGAAGGTATTACCAAGAGTAAAATACCAGAATTTAACACAGCAGAATGAATTGGGAGAATAAAAAACCAACAATCAAAATTGTGAGGTTGTCAAGAAGTCTGTGAAACAGGTTTTATTTTGTGTTTGAGAAAATGTAAGGATCACTGAAATAACCAAAAGATTGAAAGAAACTGCAACATGCAAGCTTTGTACAAAATCACACACAGACTTGACTCCCTGAGACTGTCAGCAGCATCATAGTGACCAGATGGACAGCAGGATCAGGGAACAGTGAGATAGTAACTCAAGTGAGAGTTCTACTACTTTTCTTATAAATTGAAGACTAAAATGACTATTCAACAGTTTTTTCAAAATAAATCAAACATATAAACCTTTGACCTTACCACTTTTCACTAACTCCATTGGCCTCGTATCACATCCCTCCTTACTCATCTTACAGTCTAGTGTACATCATTTCAATTGCTCTCCTAGAGCCATCTGTAATCTCATTCCATTTTTATTTTATTTAAATATCCGAACGATGGCAAACCCTATTTTCTGCTTAGTCCATGACAGAACTTCTTTACAACTTAATTTGTTTGATAAAACAGTCAGTATTGCTAAATAGCTCACCTTTAAATTTATGACTACAACCTCAGAGTTATCAGATATGTTTCATAATTATATAATATTTCTATAGACAATTTACTATCACTATGAAAATACCATTTCATGGTTTTTTCTCTCTTCTTGTATAATTGTGAAATAAAAGCTATCAGACAAGAAATTTTACATGCTCCCACTACTGTGCCTGCCACACTGCCTCACATCTGGATGCTCATACTTTGTCTTTCCATGGGTTACGGTGAAAACTGTCTATATTTCTAGGACCAGTAATTCCACTTGAACACTAGAACCAAATGCCCTTTTACAGCCATTTCCCTAGAAATCATTCACTTTTCCATCGTACAACAAACTTATTCTCTCTTAATTAGACAATTCTCAGCAGTATGCAAAGATTTTCTGATATATTCCATATATATCATTCTATATATATATCTATATATATACACATAGATATACACTCTCTCTATATATGTGTGTGTGTATATATATATACTCTATATATATATACATATATATACTCTATATACATATATATATACTCTATATATACATATATATATACTCTATATATATATACATATATATACTCTATATATATATACATATATATATACTCTATATATATATACACATATATATACATATATACTCTATATATATATACACATATATATATATACACTCTCTATATATATACACATATATATATATATATATACTCTATATATATATAACTTAATTTATCCCCATCACCTGTGGATACTTCTGTATTTCTTTACTCTGCTTTAAAGCAAAACTCTTATGAGAGTGTTCTATTTTCTGTCTTTACTTGCTCTCCTCCTGCTTTCCCTAGAACCCACTTCAGACAATCTTTGCCCCCAACTTTCTATTGAAATATTTCCTTTAAGAGTATCTTTATGGATGGGCATGGTGGCTCATCCCTGTAATCTCAGCACTTTGGGATGCTGAGGCAGGTGGGTCACTTGAGGTCAGGAGCTCAAGACCAGCTTGGCCAGCATGGTGAAACCCTAACTTTACTAAAAATACAAAACAAATTAGCCAGAAAAAAATTAGCTGGGCTTTGTGGCACACACCTGTAATCCCAGCTACTCAGGAGGCTGAGACACAAGAATCGAGAATCGCTTGAACCAGGGAGACAGAGGTTGCAGTGAGCCAACATTGCACCACTGCACTCCAGCCTGGGCAACAGAGTGAGACTCTGTTTAAAAAAAAAAAATAGTATCTTTATGTAACAAAGCAAGATGAACTCTCTGATAATAACATTTGATACAGTCTTTCCCTCCTTGAGTCTTGAAATACTTTCTACTCTGCCAGGAGACCACTTTTTTTTTTCCTGGTTTTCCTCTTACTTCATTATACTTTCTTGATTCTACACATCCTTACCCTCCTCCAAATAAATTCTGGAATTTTAAGATTTTTAATACACTGCATCTATAGCTATAATTTCTAACTATAAGAAAAGCCATTACCTAGTATTTATATTTTTGTTTTCATTCTAACTAGAATATTATAAGGTAGGTAATACTATTTTTCCCCTCTCCTAGATAGAAAAAATTAATCATAGGACAATCACAAAGGTAATTTATACTTTTCATATATATATGTATAACTTCACTCTCTACCCCATCAGTAAACTTCAGGTTTATACATCCAAGTAACTCTTAATATGTCTACCAGGATGTCTAATAGATACTGCAAAAACACTATTCACTCATGTTGTAGAGAGAATAATGATCACCCAAAGACGTCCACATTTTAATCCATAAAACCTGAGAATGTTACCTTAAGATACAGTTTTGATCTTTGTCCCCACCCAAATCTCAAGATGAAATGTAATCCCCAATGCTGGATGCTGGGCCTGGTGGGAGCCAGTGGGATCATGGGGGCAGATTTTTGCCCTTTGGTGCTGTTCTCATGATAGGGTCCTCACAAGATGTGGTTGTTTAAAAGTGTGTTGCCCCTCCCTTGCCCCATCTTCCTGCTCTGGCCATGTAGGACATGCCTGCTTCCCATTCGTCTTCCACCATGATTGTAAGTTTCCTGAGGCCTCCCCAGAGCAGAAGCTGCTGGGCTTTCTGTACAGCCTGCAGAACTGAAAGCCAATTAAACCTCTTTTCTTTATGAATTACTCAGTCTCAGCTATTTCGTTATAGCAGTACGAGAATGAACTAATATGCCTTACATGGCAAAAGGGATTTGCCAGATGTGGTAAAGATAAGGATCTTCATGTGGAGAGATTTTCTGAGGATATCTTGGTGGATCTCATATAACCATAAGCCTTTTTGTGAAAGAGAGACAAGGGGGTCAAAATTAGAGATAGAGATTTGATGAAACAGAGGTCAGATGATGTCATTGCTAGAAGGGGACCATGAGCAAAGGAATGCAGGTGGCCTCTACAAGCTAAAAGAGGCAAACAATAAACTCTCCCCTAACCTACAAAAGTAATACAGTCTTTCTGAAGCCTTCCTTTTAAAACTTGTGGCCTCTCACACTGTAATATAAGAAGTTTCTATTGTTTAAGCTACTAAATTTATGGTAATTTGTTATAGCAGCAATAGAAAATGAAAGCATTCAGGATGTACTCAGCATAATCAACTTTTTCCTTCTACAGTTTTCCCCATTTTGATACATTTAACTGCAGGTAATCGAATTGCAGCTGCAGAGTCACAATTTGGTAGGAAGTTACCCTGAGGAGGAGAAAGAGAATCCCAGACCTAAGGGCTTATTAGAGATGATTCGATGGAATAATAATCCACCAAAAAACACTGGGCTAATGCCATGACATTTGACATTCCTTTTGCAATACATGTTCTCTAGCATATGTGTTCTGTATGATTAGGCAGTACCAAAGCTGGCACTGGGAAATGGCTGTAAAATTGATCCAACGTAAGTTGAGGATACTCCTTTAAGGAGTTACAGAAGTGCCAGAAAATCCAGGCCAGTTGTATATTTGTTCACAATGAGCCAGGCACCACTTCATGAAAACTTATTTACACATTCAAATGAAATAAGAAAAAGGTTAGCTTACGAAGGGAAGGAGGAATGAAGCTGCTTCACAGCTTTGAGGATAACATTCCACAACATTTTTTTCAGGCAACACATAGGAACTGCTTAATTATGGCAGAAATTGTTCAGAAAATGGTGAATTGCGTATCATTGTATGTTTAATTTCACAGAAATATAACCTCCTACCACAAAGCAAGCAAATATAAAAATTCTTGAAGCCTTCATCGGAATAGTAAAATAGGAACTACCTTTCGTTTCTATTTTCAAGATGGGTAACATGTTTTCTGAGAAATAAAATCGATAAGGACTTGATTACTCTTTTTTTTTTTTTTTTTTTTTTTTTTTTTTTTTTTTTTTTTTGAGACAGAGTCTGGCTCTGTCGCCCAGGCTGGAGTGCAGTGCGGCGATCTCGGCTCACTGGCTCACTGCAAGCTCCACCTCCCGAGTTCACGCCATTCTCCTACCTCAGCCTCCCAGGTAGCTGGGACTACAGGTGCCCACCATCACGCCCGGCTAATTTTTTGTATTTTTAGTAGCGACGGGGTTTCACCACGGTAGCCAGGATGATCTCGATCTCCTGACCTCGTGATCCATCCGCCTCGGCCTCCCAAAGTGCTGGGATTACAGGCCTGAGCCACTGCGCCCGGCCTGATTACTCTCTTGTTTAAAAAAAGTTTCCCTTATCCTGACAGTTGTAATTTAACATCTAAGAAGCTAAACATTTTGAACATTTGTTTGTGTGTGTGGTCTGGTATCATTTTCTATTACTTTTAGACAGAGAATTTTCTCTGAAGATACTGTGTGTGTGATAGAGTGGAGCGAGAGATAATAATAATTCAGGAATTATTATTCAAATCTATATGAAACCTAATGAAATAATGTTTACTTTACCTTAGAGGAAGGCTGCAAAGAAAAGGAATTGGTGTGTGGTAGGAAGAGTGAAATGATTGATGGTAAAATTCACAAAAATGTTATTCAAACTTTCACATTAGAGTATAATACATATACTCTATATGTATTATATACTCTCAATATTGAGAGAGAGAAAATGACAGAACTGTTGGCCTATGTGTATTGTATTCATACACACATATACACACATTCTCAGAATCACAAGAACAAGGGCAGTAAAAGGAGATATGGGTTAATGAACTTTATAATAAAATGGGGGGTGAAAATCTGTGTCTTAGTACACTTTTTAGCACAAAAGCTTGATATCATTGTGTACCTTTGGTGTTGTTTTTGTATTGATCTTCAAGACAGACTGAACAAGATACTTGAGGACACTAAACCTCTCATCATATTATAATGACCTAATCACACAAGGAAATACTGGCTGCAAGAGCAGGTTATGCCAATGAGCATCATTCTGAGTCTAACCAGAAGAGAGTATAGATGGATTGAGATCAGTGTTAGATGGAAACTAATCGAAGTATTTGGAGAGATGTCTATAGGCCCAGGACTACAAGTGGCACATGTATTTTCTTCTTAGTCACTATTGGTCAAACCTTAGCCGAATGGCCCCAACTAAATGCAAAGCTTGGAAATAGAGTTCATGTTCAACAGCCACTTCTCAGCAAAACTCTACACTGTAGGAAAAGCCACTCTTCTCTACTACAGTTTGCACACATTCTAGTTTCTCAAAACGATAGGAGGGAAATTCTAAGACCTGATATTAGGTTATGTACTGCTTGCCAAATATTGAAATCTTTCGTAACTTTTTTATTATTTATTGTTCTTTAACATTCAATAAGCTGTTAAATTGTTCAGCCTGGTCTCAGGCATGTTTTAGCCTGGAAGGTCCTACTGTGACAAGAGTGTTAAAGTAGGAGTAGAGAATACATACATAAGCAGCATTGAATTGACAACATTAGTTAGTTAATTCCAGCAAATGTGGGAGAATTTCCATACATAATACGTCATGTTCCAGTTCCTACATCCTATCATCTTTCCTAAGTTCCCAAGGTCACCTTTCTAAAACTTAAATGATCTAATGTTCAAATACATTTAACAGACAGTTGCTATTTTTTAAATTTTGTTTATGAATTTAAAAAAGAATATGTTGAACTATAAAATACAAATCATAATCCTTTTCCTGAGCTTAATATTTAATGTTTTCCATTATTGTTAAAATCTTACCATTAAAAATAAGCGGATGTTCTACATTGACTACCATAATCAGGAAAGTAAATAGGCATATAAGCAGCTAAATAATCACCTACTTGAAATTCATAACAAAATTGTATTCATGACTTTCTCTTCACTGTTAACTTGTGTCGTAGGAATCATTGATCATACAAAGAAGGTTTCTGTTTGTTTGTTTTTTTTTTTCAATTTAAGCTACTAGGTTTCCATTTTCTATTACATGAAGAAGTAAAAAGACCATCTTCTAACTTCAAATACCAAAAAACAAAAACAGCCTTTTTTTAGTAAAATAAACCATTTCTGAATGTGGAATAAAGTATATTCACCTCAAACTCTGGGTTACAAAAATATTACAGGAATACCAGAAACATTCTATAGCATTATTGCTTACAGAAAACACACAGTGTTGCACAGCATTGAACATAAGTGGAGATATGTGTAGCTTCCATAAATTATAAATCAGTGATCAGAACACAGACTAAAAAAAATATGATACAGAAAATGATACAATCCACAGATGAGAAAAAGCACAAATATCACACTACAAGTCTGGCTTCAAAAATCTGTCAGTTATTTCTTACAGTGTGTTAACTGAAGGAGAACAATAAAGCTGTAGGCTATATGGCCTTGTAGCATTTCAACTGGAGTCTCCTAATTGTGGAGATTCAAAAGCTATTCTTCCTTTTCAACTCAAAAAAAAAAAAAAGTGATGTTTTCTGACCAGAGGGCAACTTGTTCAAATTTCAGATTGTACTCTTCCTTGCCTCATATGATTTTATTACAGTTGGTTTGTAGTGGCACATAACTTTTGCTTACCCAGAAGAATAAAATGATACTTTTTCTCAGCAGTAAATGTTTCAAAATTTGAACTTTTGCAACCAATTTTTCTTATACTTTTATTTTATTTAGCTTGATTTAGATGATGTACAAATATAATACATTTCTAAAAGCCTTTATATATATGAAAACTCTAAGAGAGAGATGATAAATACGGTTCTTATATAAATTAGATAATTAAGACTTTAAAATTAATTGTACCTTTCTATTGAATTAGATAGTATAGGGAAAGCAATTTAATTTTTTAAATAATTTGTGTATATTAATAATAATTGTCATGATAAATGAACCTATATATTTTAAAGTTAAAATGGAACAGATTGTAAGAATCTGTTCTCAAAAAGACTGAAGTATGTATAATATTGCAGATAAATGAAATAAACTAACCAAGTACATATTTCCTCCAAAATTTTTTCCTGAATTTTCTGAATATTTCAGCACATATGCCTTTTATTTTCTTACACTTCAACATTTTATTCATAGATTATATTCTAGTCTTTCAGAAAAAAAGTGGAAATTTCTCCACATTTTACCATATACTTGCAGTTTTCAATGTGGATAACATAATTTGAATCCAGTCAAATATTTTAGTAGACTTTGCTGTAGAGACAATGTTTTAAAAGTTTGGTCCAATGTTCTTCCAAAGAACCAGAGAAGGCATGCATCTTCATGTTCTGAGTTAACTGCAGAACTTTTCTAGATGGAATTTTGTTAATGTAATCCAAAGTATTTTTGAAGCCAGTTGCTTCTAAGGGTTTAAAATATATACTGCTTCAAGGCTTGCTACAAGTTTCTCAATTTTATTAGCCTTTCAAAGAGCCAACTTTATATTTCACTCATTTTCTCTGTTATTTTCTCATTTTCAATTTCAATGATTTCTACTTTTAATTTTCCTCCTTCTCTTTGTGTTGGGTTATTTTTCTTTACAATTTCTAGTCTGTTGAGATACACTATTCATTTGATGTTTTCCTCATTTCTAATGTAAGCATTTAATGCTGTACATTTCCCTCTCAGCATTACTTTAGCTGCATCCCATATATACGTTTGGTGTATTGTATTTTCATCGTCATTCTATTTTATGTAAATGTTAAAAGCTTTCGCTGAGACTTACTCTTTGACATATGGATTATCTGGAAGTATTTAATTTCCAAGTGTTGAGAAATGTTCCTGTTGTCTTTCTGTTATTGATTTATAGTCAGAGTCCATTTTGGGTGGAGAACACATTTTTGTATGATTTGAATTATTTTAGATGACTTTTCAAGAGAGCCGACTAGAAGCAGCTAGTGTGTGTGGCTCTTATGGAGGGGAACAGAAGGGGCAAATAAGTACAGTACCTTCAACTCAAACATTCAGCTACTCACATTGGAATAAATCGAGGAAACAACTTGATCCATAGAGAATGGAGAAAAGCAAGGCAGGACAATGGCCCACCTAGGAGAGACATGGAGCAAAGGGAAGTTCCCCAACCCAGGAAAGTGGTGAGTGAATGTGCAACCCCAGGAACCCATGCTTCTCCCATGGATCTTAGCAACCTTTGGGTCAGGAGATCCCCTTGTAAACTCACTCCACTAAACCCAGGCCTTCAGTCTGACACACACAACTGCATGGAATCTCGGCAGAGCAGCCACTCAGGCATGCACAGAGACCTAAGAGCTTTAGATACTCCAGCTTTCTGGATGTCTTAACAAAAGTAGTTGCAACTTTGGCAAAGAGGGATGTTAGATCTCCGTACATACTCCTAGGAAAGAGGCTGAATCCAAGGGGCCTACCAGCAATGGCCTTCAGGCCCCACTTCCATGGGCCACACAAGATAAGACCCACTGGATTGGAATTTCAGCCAGCAACTTCTAGCAGCCTTGTGCCTCCCTGGGATGAAACTCCCAGAGGGAGGGACGGGCTGCCATCTCTGCTCTTTGGGCGACTTAGCTGTTCCAGCCTTCCGGCTTTGGACAGTCGAAACTGACTGGGGGTGAAAGGGATCCCCCAGTACAGCACAACTTCTCTACCAAAACGTGGCCAGACTGCTTCTTTAAATGGGTTCCCAATACTGTTCCTCCTCACTGGGCAAGACCTCCCGACCAGGGTCTCTGGACACCCCTCCCAGTGTTCTCCAGCTGATAGAGAACCCATCGCCCTGGGACGAAGCGCCCAGGGAGAGGGGGCAAAACACTAGTTTTGCTGTTTGGGCAACTTAGCCCTTTTAGCCTGTAGGCTTCGGAGTGCCCTAGGCGACCGAGGGCTGAAGTGGACCCTCAGCACAGCACAGCTGCTCTATCAAAATGTGACCAGACTACTTTTTAAAGTGGATCCCCAATCCTGTTCCTCCTGACTGGGGTCTTCAGCCACTTTCCACAAGTGCATTCAGGCTGGCAACAAGCTCATACTCCCTGGGCAGAGCTCCCAGAGGGAGTGGCAGGCCACCATCTTTGCTGCTTTGTAGCCTTCATTGATGACACCTCTAGGTACCAGAAAATCTGAGGTGACTAGGGACCAGAGCAGACCCCCAGCATACTGCAGCAGCCCTATGGAAAATTGGCCAGACTGTTATGTGGTTGCCTGTTTCCATATCTCCTCAATGGGCAGGTCCTCCAATCCTGGGCCTCTAGCCATCTTCTGCCAGAGCTGTCAAGTCAGTAGCAAATCAGCAACTCCCTGGGCAGAGCCTCCCAGGGAAACTGAAAGCCTCTCTGCCACTGCCTCTTCAGTGGAACTGTCCTTACTACCCTTAGACTAACAAAGGAGCAAAGACCCTAAGTGCCTTATCTATACCTCCAACAAGCTGCGGTCAACCCAAGGATAGGAGACCAGTCTGACTTCCATGGGTCCCAAACACCCCTTACTGCTTGTCACCAGACAGAGAACCCCAGTCTTGAGCTCACAGCACAGACTCTGCATCCTGGGTTTATTGCACTGAGCAATTGCTGACTCACATCTCTTCGGGGTGGAGCCCTTAGGAGACAAGCAAAGTGGGGGAGCAGCAAGCCAACTGATGTGGAGCCCACAGGGTTTTGTGCAGGAGCTTCTGCAGCAGAGCATGGCTAGGGATGACCAACCCTCTAGGTTTGACTTGCTCCCATAAGAGACTTTAGCCCTAGGGGAATTGTCAGACCTGATCTCTGCAGGGTGGTCTTGCACATCAGAGAGGGCTGATCTGACCTGAGAACTCTTGGTTTGCTGGCCTCTCCTGGGTGCCCTGGGGCTCCACACCATTGCTTCTGTGCTGTTGGATCATGCCTGATCAGTGGGGAGCTCCAGGAGATTGACCCCTACAGTCGCACACCAACCTGCACACTCCAACCCCATGCTGCAGCTTCTCCTGAGCCCTCAGAAACTGCCTACATTACTTTGCTGGCATGTGTCTGCACGAGCAGGTTTTGCCTTACTTGCCTCACCAGTAAGTGTGAGTGCAGTACAACCCCTGACCCTTGTTGACTGCCATTGCAAACAAAGCCTTGGTGGGTACGCAGCCAGCAAGTTCCAACACTGCCAGTACCCCAAATCTTGTGCTAACACTGCACTGAGAACAGGGGATCCTCCCACACCCCAACTGATCACTCCTGGTTGCAAGGCACACAGAACGCACCCAGACCTGCGCTGCCCAGCACCCACCCCAAACCAACACCACCTCCAATGCAACAGCTTACAAGTTCTCCAGCAGGTGTCCTCCACTCCCGACCCTCACACCAACTGCTTTGCCTCTGACACTGTGGTGAAAGCCTGCAGGGAGGCAGGCACCCCAACATCCTCTAGCACTCAGCTGTAGGCTTCTGCACATTGGTCCTCCCAGTGCAGTAGACTCCCACTCTCAAGGAGCCAGAGAACAAAGTTGAGGCCCAAAACAAGTCCCCCAGAGTTAGTACATGCAGTCTAGGAGTTGGGATCTGAATGTTGGCCCACTAAAATTTTCCAGGAATGACGCCCGGTGACTGAACCCACCTTATATCACAATCAAACCCTCAAGGCCATCAAATAGAATAAAAGAAAAAAAAAATCCAACAGTTGGCAGCCTCAAAGATTGAAGGTAGATAAACCCACAAAGATGACAAAGAATCAGTGCAAGAACACTGAAAACTCAAAAAGTCAGAGTACCTTCTTTCCTCTAAGTGACTGCATTGCTTCTTCAGCAAGGGTTCAGAAGCAGGCTGAGCTGAGATGGCTGAAATGACAGAAGTAGAGTTCAAAATATGGATAGAAGTGAAGTTCACTGAGCTAAAGGCATATGTTGTAACCCAATGCAAGGAAGCTAAAAATCATGATAAAACATTGCAGGAGCTGACAGAATAGCAAGTATAGAGAATAATACAACTGACCTGTTGAGCTGAAAAACATACCACAAGAATTTCATAATGCAATCAAAAGTATTAATAATAGAGTACACCAAGTAGAGTAACAAAGCTCAGAAGTTGAAGACTACCTTTCTGAAATAAAACAGGTAGATAAGAATAGAGAAAAAAGGAAGAAAAAGAATGAACTAAACCTCCTCTAAATATGGGATCATGTAAAGAGACTAAATCTATGACTGACTGGTATACCTGAAAGAAATGAGAAGACTGGCACCAACTTGGAAGAGACATATTTCAGGATATAATCCATGAGAACTTCCCCAGCCTAGCTAGAGAGGCTGACATTCAAATTCAGGAAATCAAGAGAACTCCAATAAGATACTCTATGAGAAGATCATCCCCAATTCACATAATCATCAGATTCTCCAAGGGCAAAAGAAACAAAAAATGTTAAGGGCAGCTAGAGAGAAAGGCCAGGTCACCAGCAAAGGGAAGCCCATCAGACTAACAGCAGATCTCTCAGTTGAAATCATACAAACCAGAAGATAACTGGGGGTCAATATTTAACATTCTTAAAGAAAAGAAATTTCAACCCAGAATTTCATATCTGGCCAAACTAAACTTCATAAGCAAAGGAAAAATAACATCCTTTTCAGATAAGCAAATGTTGAGGAAATTCATTACCACCAGACCTCCCTTACAAGAGCTCCTGAAGGAAGCACTAAATATGGAGAGGAAAGATCGTTACCAGCCACCACAAAAACACACTGAAGTAAACAGACTAGTAACACTATAAAGCAACCACATAAGCAAGTCTGCAAAATAGCCAGCTAACATTATGATGACAGGATAAAATCCACACATATCATATCAACCTTAAATGTAAATGGGCTTAATGTACCAATTAAAAGACACAAAGTGGTAAGTTGGCTAAAGGACCAAGACCCATCAATATGCTGTCTTCAAGAGACCCAAATCATGGCAATGACAGACATAGGCTCAAAATAAAAGGATGGAGAAAAATCTACCAAGTATATAGAGAACAGAAAAAAAGTAGCGATTGCAATTCTAATTTCTGACAAAACAGATTTGAAACAGACAAATATCAAAAAAGACAAAGAAGGGCATTACATAATGGTAAAGGTTTCAGTTCAACAAAGAAAAATCTCTAACTATTATAAATATATAAGCACCCAACACAGGAGCACCCATATTCATAAAGCAAATTCTTAGACACCTTCAAAGAGACTTAGACTCCCAAACAATAATGGTGGGCAATTTTAACACCCCACAGACAATATTAGACAGATCACTGAGACAGAAAATTAGCAAAGATACTTAGGACCTAAAATCAGCACTGGATCAAATGGAACTGAATATCTATATATATATATATATCTCCACCCCAATATGACACACTATACATCCTTCTCATCACTTCTCATCACCACATGACATATACTCTAGAACTGATCACATATCAAAAGTAAAACACTCCTCACCAAATGTGAAAAAACTGAAATAACAGTCTCTCAGATCACAGCGCAATCAAATTAGAAACCAAGGACTAAGAAATTCACTTAAAACCATGCAATTACATGGAAATTGAATAAACTGCTCCTGAATGACTTTTGGGTATGTAATGAAATTAAGGCAGAAATCAAGAAGTTCTTTGAAACTAATGAGAACAGAGATACAACATACTGGAATCTCTGAGACACAGCTAAGGAATTGTTAAGAGGGAGACTTATAGCAAAAAAGTTAATGCCCACATTTAAATGCCCACATCAACAAGTTACAAATATCTCAAGTTAACAACCTAACATCACAACTAAAATACCTAGAGATCCAAGGGCAAACAAATCCAAAAGCTAGCAGAAGACAAGAAATAACCAAAATCGGAGCTGAACTTAAAAAGATAGAGACACCAAAACCCATTCAAAATATCAACAAATCCAGGAGCTGGGTTTTTTTTTATCTGAAAAAAATTGATAAAATAGATAGACTGTTAGCTAGACTAATGTAGAACAGAGAAAATCCAAATAAACACAATCACAAATGAAGGAGGTATATTACCACTGACCCGATAGAAATACAAACAACCATCACAAAATATTATAAACACCTCTATTCATATAAACTAGAGAATCTAGAAAAAAACAGATAAATTCCTGGACACATACACGCTCCCAAGATTGAACCAGGAAAAAACTGAATCCCTGAACAACCAATAATGAGCTCTGAAATGGAAGCAGTAATAAATATCCTACCAACCAAGGCTCAAAACCAGAAGGTTTTACAGCTGAATTCTACCAGATGTACAAAGAAGAGCTGATACCATTTCTACTGAAACTATTCCAAAAATTTAAGGATAAAGGACTTTTCCCTAACTCATTCTATGAGGCTAGCATCATCCTAATATCAAAACCTGGCAGAGATAAGAAAAAAAAAAAGAGAGAGAGAGAGAGAAAACTTCAAGCCAATATCTTTGATGAACATCACTGCAAAAGTCCTAAACAAAACATGGACAAACCAATACCAGCAGCACATCAAAAATCTTATCCATTGAGATCAGGTAGGCTTTAATCCTGGGATGCAAGGTTGGATCAACACACGCAAATAAATAAATGTGATTCATCACATAAACAGAACTAAAGTTCAAAACCACACAACTATCTCAATAGAAGCAGAAAAGGTTTTCAATAAAATTCAATATCCCGTCATATTAAAAACTCTCAATAAACTAGGTATTAAAGGAACATACTTCAAAACAATAAGAGCCATGTATGACAAACCATATCAGACAACATCATACAGAGTGGGCAAAAGCCAGAAGCATTCCCCTTGAAAACCAGCACAAGACAAGAATGCCCTCTTTCACCATTCCTATTTAACATAGTATTGAAAGTTCTGGCCAGGGCCATCAGTGAACAGAAAAAAAAATAAAGTGCATTGAAATAGGAAGATAGGAAGTCAAACTATCCCTGTTTGCAGACAACATGATCCTATATCTAGAAAAACCCATAGTCTCAGCCCAAAAGCTTCCTAAGCTGATAAACAACTTCAGGAAATTTCAGGATATAAAATTAATGTGCAAAAATCACTAACATTGCTATACACGAACACCAATCAAGCCAAATCAGAGCCAAATCAGAAATGAACTCTCATTCACAATTGCCACAAAAAGAATAAAATACAAAAATCATAACAAACAGTATTTCGGGCCACAGGGCAATCAAATTAGGATTCAGGAATAAGAAACTCACTCAAAATGGCACAACTGCATGGAAACTGAACAACCTGCTCCTGAATGACTATTGGGTAAATAATGAAATGAAGGCAGAAATAAAGATATTCTTTGAAACCAGTGAGAACAAAGACACAGTGTACCAGAATTTCTGGGACACATTTAAAGCAGTGTGTAGAGAGAAATTTATAGCAATAAATGGCCACAAGAGAAAGCAAGAGAGATCTAAAATCGATACACTAACATCACAAGTAAAAGAACTAGAGAAGCAAGAGCAAACAAATTCAAAAGCTAGCAGAAGACGAGAAATAACTAAGATCAGAGCAGAACTGAAGGAGATAGAGACATGAAAAACACTTCAAAAAATCAGTGACTACAGGAGCTGGCTTTTTGAAAAGATCAACAAAGTAGATAGACTGCTAGCCAGACTAATAAAGAAGAAAAGAGAGAAGAATCAAATAGATGCAATAAAAAATGATAAAGGGGATATCACCACCGATCCCAGAGAAATACAAACTACCATCAGAGAAAACCACAAACACCTCTATGCAAATAAACAAGAAAATCCAGAAGAAATGGATAAATTTCTAGACATACACACCCTCCCAAGACTAAACCAGGAAGAAGCTGAATCCCTGAACAGACCAATAACAAGTTCTGAAATTGAGGCAGTAATTAATAGCCTACCAACCAAAACAAGTCCAGGACCAGAGAGATTCACAGCTGAATTCTACCAGAGGTGCAAACAGGAGCTGGTACCATTCCTTCTGAAACTATTCCAAACAATTGAAAAAGAGGGACTCCTCCCTAACTCATTTTATGAGGCCAGCATCATTCTGATACCAAAACCTGGCAGAGAGAAAACAAAAAAAAAAAGAAAATTTCAGGCAAATAGCCCTGATGATCATAGACGCAAAAATCCTCAATAAAATACTGGCAAACTGAATCCAACAGCACATCAAAAAGCTTATCCACCATGATCAAGTTGGCTTCATCCCTGGGATGCAAGGCTGGTTCAACATACGCAAATCAATAAACATAACCCATCACATAAACAGAACCAATGACAAAAACCAAATGATTATCTCAATAGATGCAGAAAAGGCCTTTGACAAAATTCAACAGCCCTTCATGGTAAAAAGTCTTAATAAACTAGTTATTGATGGAACATATCTCAAAATAATAAGAGCTATTTATGACAAACCCACAGCCAATATTATACAGAATGGGACAAAACTGGAAACATTCCTTTTGAAAACGGGCAGAAGACAAGGATGCCCTCTCTCACCACTCCTATTCAACATAGTCCTGGAAGTTCTGGCCAGGGCAATGAGGCAAGAGAAAGCAATAAAGAGTATTCAATTAGGAAAAGAGGAAGCCAAATTCTCTCTGTTTGCAGATGACATGCTTGTATACTTAGAAAACCCCATCGTCTCAGCCCAAAATCTCCTTAAGCTGATAAACAACTTCAGAAAAGTCTCAGGATACAAAATCAACGTGCAAAAGTCACAAGCATTCCTATACACCAGTAATAGACAAACAGAGAGCCAAATCATGAGTCAACTCCCATTCACAATTGCTAAAAAGAGAATAAAATACCTAGGAATACAACTTATAAGGGACATGATGGAACTCTTCAAGGAGAAATACAAACCACTGCTCAAGGAAAAAAGAGAGAACACAAACAAATGGAAAAACAAACATTCCATGCTCATGGATAGGAAGAATCAATATCCTGAAAAAGGCCATACTGCCCCAAGTAATTTATAGACTCAATGCTATCTCCATCAAGCTACCATTGACTTTCTTCATAGAAGTGGAAAAAACTACTTTAAATTTCATATGGAACCAAACAACAGCCTGCATAGCTAAGACAGTCCCAAGCAAAAAGAACAAAGCTGGATGCCTCACACTACCTGACTTCAAACTATACTACAAGGCTACAGTAACCAAAACAGCATGGTACCAAAACACATATATAGACCAATGGGATAGAACAGAGGCCACAGAAACAACACCACACATCTACAACCATCTGATCTTTGACAAACCTGACAGAAACAACCGATGGGGAAATGATTCCCTATTTAATAAATAGTGTTGGGAAAATTGGCTAGCTATATGCAGAAAGCTGAAATTGGATCCCTTCCTTACATCTTATACAAAATTAATGCAAGATGGATTAAAGACTTAAATGTAAGACCTAAAACCATAAAAATCCTAGAAGAAAACCTAGGCAATACCATTCAGGACATAGGCATGGGAAAAGACTTCAAGACTAAAACACCAAAAGCAATGGCAACAAAAGCCAAAATTGACAAATGGGATCTAATTAAACTAAAGAGCTTCTGCACAGCAAAAGAAACTATCATAAGAGTGAACAGGCAACCTACAGAATGGGAGAAAATTTTTGCAATCTATCTATCTGAAAAAGGGCTAATATCCAGAATTTACAAAGAACTTAAACAAATTTACAAGAAAAAAATAAACAATCCCATCAAAAAATGGGCAAAGGATATGAACAGACACTTCTCAAAAGAAGATATTTAGGCAGCCAATAAATATATGAAAAAAACCTCATCGTGAAATCCCATTCACAATTGCTTCAAAGAGAATAAAATACCTAGGAATCCAACTTACAAGGGATGTGAAAGACCTCTTCAAGGAGAACTACAAACCACTGCTCAATGAAATAAAAGAGGATACAAACAAATGGAAGAACATTCCATGCTCATGAGTAGGAAGAATCAATATCATGAAAATGGCCATACTGTCCAAGGTAATTTATAGATTCAACACCATCCCCATCAAGCTACCAATGACTTTCTTCACAGAATTGGAAAAAACTAAAGTTCATATGGAACCAAAAAAGAGCCCGCATTGCCAAGTCAATCCTAAGCCAAAAGAACAAAGCTGGAGGCATCATGCTACCTGACTTCAAACTATACTACAAGGCTACAGTAACCAAAACAGCATGGTACTGGTACCAAAACAGAGATATAGACCAATGGAACAGAACAGAGCCCTCAGAAATAATAACGCTGCATATCTACAACCATCTGATCTTTGACAAACCTCACAAAAACAAGAAATGGGGAAAGGATTCCCTATTTAATAAATGGTGCTGGGAAAACTGACTAGCCATATGCAGAAAGCTGAAACTGGATCCCTTCCTTACACCTTATACAAAAATTAATTCAAGATGGATTAAAGACTTAAATGTTAGACCTAAAACCATAAATACCCTAGAAGAAAACCTAGGCAATACCATTTAGGACATAGGCATGGGCAAGGACTTCATGACTAAAACACCAAAAGCAATGGCAACAAAAGCCAAAATTGACAAATGGGATCTAACTAAACTGAAGAGTTTCTGCACAGCAAAAGAAACTACCATCAGAGTTAACAGGCAACCTACAGAATGGGAGAAAATTTTTGCAATCTACTCATCTGACAAAGGGTTAATATCCAGAATCTACAATGAACTCAAACAAATTTACAAGAAAAAAACAAACAACCCTATCCAAAAGTGGGCTAAGGATATGAACAGACACTTCTCAAAAGAAGACATTTAAGCAGCCAAAAGACACATGAAAAAATGCTCATCATCACTGGCCATCAGAGAAATGCAAATCAAAACCACAATGAGATACCATCTCACACCAGTTAGAATGGCGATCATTAAAAACTCAGGAAACAACAGGTGCTGGAGAGGATGTGGAGAAATAGGAACACTTTTACACTGTTGGTTGGACTGTAAACTAGTTCAACCATTGAGGAAGTCAGTGTGGCGATTCCTCAGGGATCTAGAACTAGAAATACCATTTGACCCAGCCATCCCATTACTGGGTATATACCCAAAGGATTATAAATCATTCTACTATAAAGACACATGCACACATATGTTTATTGCAGCACTATTCACAATAGCAAAGACTTGGAACCAACCCAAATGTCCAACAATGATAGACTGGATTAAGAAAATGTGGCACATATACACCATGGAATACTATGAAGCCATAAAAAATGATGAGCTCATGTCCTTTGTAGGGACATGGATGAAGCTGGAAACCATCATTCTCAGCAAACTGTCGCAAAGACAGAAAACCAAACACCGCGTGTTCTCGCTCATAAGTGGGAACTGAACAATGAGAACACATGGACACCGGAAGGGGAACATCACACACCGGGGCCTGTTGTGGGGTGGGGGTAGGGGGGAGGGATAGCATTTGGAGATATACGTAATGTTAAATGACGATTTACTGGGTGCAGCACACCGACATGGCACATGTATACATATGTAACTTACCTGCATGTTGTGCACATGTACTCTAAAACTTAAAGTATAATAAAAAATGAAATAAAATAAAATGAAATTAAAAAAAGAAAAAAACCTCATCATCACTGGCCATCAGAGAAATGCAGATTAAAACCACAATTAGATACCATCTCATGCCAGTTAAAATGGTGATCATTAAAAAGTCAGGAAACAACAGATGCTGGAGAGGATGTGGAGAAATAGGAATGCTTTTACACTGTTGTTGGGAGTGTAAATTAGTTCAACCATTGTGGAAGGCAGTATGGCGATTCCTCAAGGATCTAGAACTAGAGATACCATTTGACCTAGCAATCCTATTACTGGGTATATACCCAAAAGATTATAAATCATTCTACTATAAAGACACATGCACACATATGTTTATTGCAGCACTGTTCACAATAGCAAAGACTTGGAACCAACCCAAATGCCCATCAATGATAGACTGAATAAAGAAAATGTGGCACATATACACCATGGAATACTATGCAGCCATGAAAAAGGATGAGTTCATGTCCTTTGCAGGGACATGGATGAAGCTGGAAACCATCATTCTCAGCAAACTAACACAAGAACTGAACACCAAACACCACATGTTCTCAATCATAAGTGGCAGTTGAACAATGAGAACACATGGTCACCGTAAGAGGACCATCACACACTGGGACCTGTCAGGGGTGGGGGGCTAGGGGAGGGATAGCATTAGGAGTAATACCTAATGTAAATGACGGGTTGATGGGTGCAGTAACCCACCATGGCACATGTATACAAATGTAATAAACCTGCATGTTCTGCATATGTACCCCAGAACTTACATATATATATATATAAAATAAAATACTTAGGAATACATCTAACTAGAGAGGTGAAAAATCTCTACAAAGAGAACAACAAACCACTACTCAAAGAAATCAGAGATGAGAAAAACAAGTGAAAAATATTTCATGCTCATGGATATGAAGAATCAATACATTCAATGCTATGCCTATTAAACTGCCATTGACATTGTTCATGGAACTAGAAAAAAGTATTTGAAAATTCATATGGAACCAAATAGAGTTTGAATAACCAAGGCAGTCCTAAGTCAATTGAGTAAAGCTAGAGGCATCATGCTACCAGACTTCAAACTATATTACAGGGTTCCAGTAACCTAAACAATATGCTACGGGTATAAAAACAGATACATGGACCACTGGAACAGAATAGAGAACCCAGAAATAAGACTGCACACCTACAATGATCTGATCTTCAACAAACCTGACAAAAACAAGCAATGGGGAAAGGATTCTCTATTCAATAAATGGTGCTAGAATAACTGGTGAGCCATATGCAGAAGATAAAAACTGGACCCTTCTTTTAGCAATATACAAAAATTAACTCAAGATGGATTACAGACTTAAATTTAAAGCCCCAAACTATAAAAGCCCTGAAAGACAACATTTGCAATAACATTTCAGGACATATACAGGCAAAGGTTTCATGAAGACAATGTGAAAAGCAATTGCAACAAAAGCAAAAATTGACAAATGGAATGTAATTAAACTACAGAGGCTCTGCACAGCAAAAGAAACTTTTGACAGAGTAAACATAAAACCTACAGAATAGGAGAAAACTTTTGCAAACTGCACATTGAACAAAGCTCTAATAACCAGCATTCATAACCTAAACAAATTTACAACAAAAATATCCCACAAAAAAGTGGGCAAAGGACATGAACAGACGTTTTTAAAAGAAGACATACATGCAGCCAACAATCATGTGAAACAAAGCTCAACATCATTGATCATTACAGAAATGTTCATCAAAACCACAATGGGGTACTGTTTCACACCATTCAAAATGGCTATTACTAAAAAGTCAGCAACAACAACAAAAAGCAAAACAAAACAAAAACAAATGCTGGCAAGGTTGTGGACACAAAAAAACACTTATACACTGTTGGTGAGATTGTGACTTAGCTCACGCATTGTGGAGAACAGTGTGGCAATTCCTCAAAGACGTAAAGACAGAAATATCATCCGACCCAGCAATCTAATTACTGGGTATATACCCAAAGGAATATAAATCTTTCTATTATAAAGACACCTGCAAGCATATGTTCATTGCAACACTATTCACAATAGCAAAGACATGGAATCAACCTAAATACCTGTCAATGACAGACTGGATAAAGAAAATATGATATATAATATATGTATATCATTATATATGTTGTAATTTATATAACATAAAATACCATTTGCCCCAGCAATCCCCACTACTGGGTATCTACCTAGAAGAAAGTAAGTCATAATATGAAAAAGACACTTGCACATGCATGTTTATAGCAGCACAATTCACAATTAAAAAAATATGGAACCAGCCCACATTCCCATCAACCAGGGAGTGGATAAAGAAAATATGATTATATAATATATATTGTATATATAAATTATATATTATATATCCCATTTATATATGATATATATGTGATATATATCACATATTATTGATTGTGATTTTGTAATTGCTGATACATATATCACATTTTCTTTATCCACTCCCTGGTTGATGGGAATTTGGGCTGGATCCGTATTTTTGCAATTGTGTGAATTGTGCTGCTATAAATAAACATGCATGCGCAAGTGTCTTTTTCATATTATGACTTATTTTCCCCTAGGTAGATACCCAGTAATGGGGATTGCTGGGTCAAATGGTATTTCTACTTTTATTTCTTCAAGGAATCTTCATAATGTTTTCCACAGTGGTTGTACTAGTTTAAATTTCCACCAGCAGTGTAAAAATGCTCTCTTCTCACATTTACTCCAATATCTATCATTTTTTTATTTTTAAATTATGGCCATTCTTGCAGAAGTAAAGTGGTATCACAATGTAGTTTTGACTGGCATTTTCCTAATATTTACTGACATTGAGCATTTTTTCATATGTGTTGACCATTTGTGTATCTTCTTTTAAGAAATGTCTATTCATGTCCTTATTCACTCTTTGATGGGATTTTTTTTCTTGATAATTTGTTTGAGTTCTTTGTAGATTTTGGATATTAATCTTTTGTTGGATGCATAGATTTTCTTGCACTCTGTGGGTTGCCTGTTAACTCTGCTGATTATTCCTTTTGCTGTGCAGAAGCTTTTAGTTTAATCAAGTCCCATCTATTTATCTTCGTTACAATTGCTTTTGGGTTTTTGGTCATGAACTCTTTGCCTAAGCCAATGTCTAGAAGAGTTTTTACAACGTTATCTTCTAGAATTGTTATCATTTCAGGACTTAGATTTATGTCTTTGATCCATCACGAGTTGATTTTTGTATAAAGTGAGAAATGAGGATTCGGTTTCATTCTTCTACATGTGGCTAGCCAATTATCCCAGCATCATTTGTTGAATAGGGTGTCCTTTCCTCACTTTATGTTTTTGTTTGCTTTGTCAAAGATCAGTTGGCTGTAAGAACTTGGCTTTATTTCTGCGTTATCCATTCTGTTTCATTGGTCTCTGTGCCTGTTTGTAATACCAGTACCATGCCTTTTTGGTAACTATAGCCTTATATTACAGTTTGAAGTCAGGTAATATGATGCCTCGAGATTTGTTATTTTGCTTAGTCTTGCTTTGATTATGCGCGCTCTTTTTCAGTTCTATATGAATTTTAGGATTTTTTTTCTAGTTCTGTGAGGAATGATGATGGTATTGTACGGGAATTGCATTGAATTTATAGATTGCTTTTGGCAATAAGGTCATTTTATGTCAGTTTTTTCTTCATAAATTTTGAAGCTCCGTGTTTTGCACAAATTTATGATTATTTCTCTTCATACGGTATTAATTCTTTATTAATTATATAATATCCTTTTTTAATAATTTTATTTCCCCTGAAATCTACTTTATCAAATATTAATATAGACAATTGTGCTTTTCTTTTCATTAATATTTGCATGACACACCTTTTTCCATCCTTTCACTTTTGGCTTATCTATATCATTAAATTTAAAGAATTTCTTATAAACAACATATAGGTGAGTATTTTTTAGCCAACACTATGCATACCTGTCTTCTAATCAGTGTATTTAGACCATTTACATTAAAGATAATTGTTGATCTTCTGAATCATAATTTTGCAATTTTATTATTTGCTTTTTGTTTGTTTCTCTTTCTTGTCTTTCTTTGGGCTACTCAAACATTTTCTAGAATCCGATCTTAACTAATTTATAGTGCTTTTGAGTTTATCTCTTTGTATTGTCTTTGTAGTTGTTGATTTTTAGTAACACATTATATACATGTAGCTTATCAAAGTCTACTGGAGTTTTTACAATTTCAAGTGAAATATGAAAATCTTACTTACATTTAGTCACTTTATCTTCCCTTAACACCATCAGATGGTATTATAGTTTATTTCAATCATCAAATATAATTTATATAACTCATTAGAAGCTTATGCTGTCTTTATTTCTGCTGTTTCCACTGTTCTTTCTCCATCTGCTGATGCTCTAAGGTTTTTATTTTTATTTTTTCATTTCCTTTTTTTTTTTGAAGGAATTTCCTTTTTTTTTTTTTTTTTTTTTTTTTTTTTGAGATGGAGTCTCGCTCTGTCACCCAGGCTGGAGTGCAGTGGCACGATCTCACTGCAACCTCCGCCTCCCGGGCTCAAGCAATTCTCCTGCCTCAACTTCCCGAGTAGCTGGGACTACAGGCGTGCGCCACCACACCACACCCGGCTAATATTTGTATTTTTAGTAGAGACCAGGTTTCACCATATTGGTCAAGCTGATCTTGAACTCCTGACCTCGTGATCTGCCCGCCTGGGCCTCCCAAATTGCTGGGATTACAGGTGTGAGCCACCACGCCTGGCCTAATATGCATTTCTATGATTTTAAGTGAATCATTAGGAATTCTGTATATCTAACCTGTGTATACCTAAACTGTGTTAAAGCTACCTACATTAAAAATTAATTGGGAAATTTCTAAATAGGAACAATCCTAGGCTTTCAAAATCAGATTTCTGAGAACAGAGTCAGAGAACCCGTATTCAATATAAACACAAATTCAAGTCTTGACAGAAGTAATAAAAATAATATAATAAAAATATACCTTTTTACAAATGAGCAAATAATATTTAAGTATTTTGTAGGTCGATCACATTATGTGTAA
The DNA here is from genome assembly GCF_000001405.40 of Homo sapiens. NCBI lineage: Eukaryota > Metazoa > Chordata > Mammalia > Primates > Hominidae > Homo > Homo sapiens. The sequence continues at coordinate 65,759,857 of NC_000006.12, forward strand.
AATCTAAAACCTTGCCTTACTTCCAAAAGGTCTTCATCTCTTTCAGAAGATTAATCTCCTTCAGAAGATTAAATGGTCACCTGTGCTATTTAGTCAAAAGAATCTAATTTAAAAATTCTATCATTTGTATGAAGAAAACTACACTGAAGCTTATGGAAAACTTAATATTTGAAAATAATATTTTTACAAGTTAAAAAGTGGTAGATATTTGTAGGATGAGCAAGCCATAAGATCTACTGTACAACATGAGGACTATTGTAATCAGGATTTTTGCTAAATTAGTAGATTATAGCTGTTCTAGCCACAAGGGGAGAAATGGGTAACTATGTGAGATGTTGGAAATGTTTGTTTCACTATTTCATTTTACTATATATATGCACGTGGGGTGTGGTATCTTATAACATCATATTGAATACCTTCAATATGCTCAATAAAATTTATTTCTGGAAAAGTAATTATGTATATACCCTAAAAGAGAGAAAAGGTTTTGTTCACAATACTTTATCTCTTTGAAGAATTACTGAACAAAACACATGGTAGGATGGGGACAGTGGTGCTGTAGTTAGGATGACTAAAGCAGAGTTGACCTAGTCTGCCCTAGGATGTTTTATTGGTGAGTCATCCAACTCATCAGGGAAAGGCATTGTCCTGATACTACTGTGTGGGCGGATGGACTCCAATATAGCAGTTGTGCTTTTTCAATTTTGAAGTTTAGTCACCTGTTCATGGGTAACCTAGTATCCATAGGTTGTCTCAGATTTTCTTTATGTCACCAAGATCCAAAGCTTGGTCCTTTTGTTGGCTTTCATAATAAAAGTCTACACACACAGAAACATTTAGTGAAATTTGGACTATGTTAAACATTAAGAGGTCCTTGGGATAGCAAAGCAGACAATCTTTTGCAAAAGCTGCCTTACTTTCCTTTCCTTCTTCTCTCTCAGTTAACAGAACTTGGATATTTTTGTAATATATCTTCTACTTTAAATGAATTTATCAAGAAATTTATTGTAAATGCAGATAATTCCATCTATAAAAGGATATCTGAAGAAATATCTTTTCCCCATGAGAGAATGAAAGTTCTCATCAGGTATGAATTTTTGCTTGCTTTTGCATTACTCCTAGCAAGAGGGGGGGTGGGGATGTGATAGACTGAGTCACATCCGTATCAACCCCAGATCCTTAAATGAGGCTAATGTTGCTGGTCCCTACCTGGCTGCTTGGTCTTGCTTTCTATGATTAATTGGAGTTTTTCCTTTTCACTCATCTTAAGAAGTAACTACAAATATTTAATATTGTTTTCTTGGTCTGATACAAGTTCTTCGTTTCTGGGAACATGGAATACCCTACTTCCTCAATTGGGAGTGCTGTGTCTCTTCACAAATTGCCCTGTGAATTTTTTTTAGAACTGGGGATTTTTGTTTGTTTGTTTTCCAATCTATAGTTTCAGCCACTGGAATAGGGTGAGTGAAATGATGTAATTCAAGGATGTGCACTGTTCTAGTCGGTGCTCTAGATATGTCACCTTCCAAGAGCTACAGCATCTATACATCTTATAAGCATCATAAGCAGCTGAAATCAAGCGAAAATGAGAAAGGGAAATGAGAGGATGAGAGAACTCAGTAGAGAGGATGTTGGCAGCAGCCATTCATGGATCATTTATAAAGGCAATGTTCAGAGGCAGAGAACTGTCTAATTTTTTAAAACTACAGTAAGGTTTGTTTGCAAGTGTTTTCTATTATCATAAAATCTATCCTGCTGCACAGCAGATAGAATTTGATTTTTGCTCCCTGAAAATAATCACTTGACATGTAATATAAGTCTTTGCACTTTAAAAATTGTTTTACCACTTGTCTCCAGGATGGTTATTTTACAATCCAATATAAATGTAATAATCTGAATAAGAATGTATGAGGCTCTGACAATTTTAGAAACAAGAACTCATAGGGTATCATTTCCCTAATATTAATGTGGTAACTCTTTTAGTATTGAAGGTAACAAATCTTTAGTAATAAAGAAATATAAGGCCTCTCATTTTTGTTTGCCAAGCGGCATTTCATGAGAATTCTTGCCTGTGTCATTAGCCATGGAGGAAATATTAGTTTTACAATGGAAATACTGTACAGCAAACCTTCAATCACCGGATTGTCTACATAAGTAACATCAACGTGGATTTCCATCCAATAATTCACACTCTTTCAGCTCCACTGAACTGCAGTAGAAATGGATGTTGTATATAGGCCTTATCCAAATAAACTCATAAATTATAAAGAGTAATCTCCAACCACGATTCATGCCATGCCCTTTTTCTCCCTCCTCATGTCAGAGATGTTGCTGCTGCCTTTGTCATGATAAATGCTGAAAACAAAGCAATAACTCACACATGAACTCCAGTTTTCAGAAAGTAGGTAAGTTCAGAAATAGCAGCTGGAAAGTAGTAGAACCTGAAAAAATAATTTGAACCATTGAACCATGTAACAGATTCAAAGGTAGGGGCAGACTTCTCTATGTGCTTAAATCCAAATATTCCTATTCCACTGGTTAGGCTCAGGGGAAATCTATCTTCCTCTGAAAATGCATTAAAATGTATACTTCACTTTGATATCCAGAAAAGTCCAAACAATAAAATAATTAAAGGGGTACATAAATATAATATTTCTTAGTCATCACCCTCCAACAACAGTTGTGCTAGTAAAATTATTAGAACAATATAAAATGCTAAACAAATGGAATATTCAGCTTTCAGGAGATGAGAAAGAAATGCATGCATGTAGTTAGGATAAACTTTATTTATGAAAACAAGTGTCCAGCCCACTTTGTGAAACAATTGTCAGATTAGTTTGCCAATATGATTCCTTCAAATAATAATATCACAATAACTATTATTTATTTGGTTACTAAGTTTTCTGGTGAGCTCCTAAATTTTGTGTCTTATTTGCCTCACCCTAGTCATGGTCTTGAGTGCCAAAGATGAGTTGTACATATTTTGAATTCTTTTCAGTGGCCTGTCTTGCATTCAGGATGCTGAAAATACCCTTTTCCATTGTTTTCTCTCCTTTATGCAACAGGGCTCCTTGACCATGACAAACCAAGTTACGTGGTATTAGCTAGGGACTGAGTTACTTCAATATCCTGTATTTTGTTACTATCATTTTAATAGCATGTTTCTAGGATAATGTGTTTTAAGCTCCAAGTAGTCAAGCAATTATTTTTAAGAGTTTTGTTTGGAGAATGGGAGAAGAAGGGGTTGATATTTACACATTCACACACATGAACACACACATATTCTTCTAGGAGTCTTCCTTTAGGACTTTAGGAACCAAGGGCAGTTGTCTTTTGGAGAGATATTCAGGTTGTCTTGAGGAATGCATGATTTACTGGTAGAATTTCCTGAAAGTCATACAGGTCTCTTATGACCACCGAAAGTTCCAGATCACCATGTTTTGGGGAGGGAAGCAAGTTAATGTCTAGTTCCACAGAGAAAACACAGTCCCTGGAGTGTATATGGTATATACAAAATGGTATTGACAATTGTGCAGGAGTACCAAGCATGGCCTAATATAACCAGGGGAAGTTGACAATGCCTCCAGTGTGGTTCTCCAAACAGATGGTCAACCTCACAACTCCCATTTCAGTTAAAATGTTTGAGTGTAGTCCCTGGTTTTGGAATGACTCCCTGGGGGCTTTCATTCAGCCTTTCTTATTATTTCCATTGAGAGCTAGGATTTATGTCCCTTCCCTTGAAACTGGGTAGGCTTCTGTTTCAACCAACAGAGTGTGATGGAAGGGAGCCAGTGATTTCCAAGGCTAGGTCATAAAAAGCGACTCAACTTCTGCCTTTCTTGCTGGTACACTTTCATTTCTACTACCTTCAGCTGCCATGCTAGCAATCTGATTGCCCGGAGACCACATAGAGAGAGATGACCTGGGGAAGCTCTGAGACCCATGGATCTGGAGAGAGAGAGAGAGAGAGAGAGAGAGAGATCTAGTCCTCAACTATTCCATCTCCACTGGTACAGCTCCAGTCACAGCTGACTGCAGCCAAATGAGGGACTCTGGGCCAGAATCATCAAGCTGAAAATTTCCAGAATTTTTGTCCCAATGAAAGTATAAAAGAAAATAAAATTATTGCTTCAATTTTAAGTTTAAATTTAACTAAATTTTGGGGTGATTCATTTCCAAGAAATGAATTACCAGAATTTTGAGTTTTCACTGTGTGAGGCTAGCCCCACAAGATGGCCAAATATCTACTGTCTTTTTATTTCCTTACAGTTTGTCTACTCAGGTGAATAGAAACAGTTTGTACCAGATCTGGAAAATGGAGGAAAAAAATAACTGGCAATCATTAGCTCATTTCAAAGGACTTTTCTTTCTCTGAAATTTTAACTCATTAAGTCCTTGTTGCTTCAGTCTCCGCTGTCTTTACAAACACATTTTTTTTGCAATTTATTTTCTTTTCCAGTTACTGTAGTAAAATTCTTGGTCTGCCGAGACCAAATCCATCCTACTCATACCCCCGTTTAAAGGTTAATTCTGCCTGTACTTCCCATACTCATTTCCAGCTTAGTTTTTTCATCATCTGTCACTATTCAGAACAAAGCATACTTCACACAGACACACACACACAGACACACACACACACACAAAATATACATTTTTTTCACTTTGTTGTAGTACCTAGAAAATTGATTAATAAAGACTCTAACATATTCTCACTCCAAAATAAAGTTATAAATATTCTGTTTCTTATCTTTTTTTTTTTTTTTTTTGAGACGGAGTCTCACATTTTTGCCCAGGCTGGAGTGCAGTGGCGCCATTTCGGCTCACTGCAAGCTCCGCCTCCCGGGTTCACGCCATTCTCCTGCCTCAGCCTCCCTAGTAGCTGGGACTACAGGCGCCGCCACCACGCCCGGCTGATTTTTTGTATTGTTAGTAGATACGGGGTTTCACCCTGTTAGCCAGGTTGGTCTCAATCTCTTGACCTTGTGATCTGCCCACCTCGGCCTCCGAAAGTGCTGGTATTACAAGCGTGAGCCACCGTGCCTGGCCTCTGTTTCTTATCTTAAATGATGGTTTATTTCCTCAAGTTTTATCTATTTAGAGTGTTATGAAAGTAGATGACAAAAACCTTCATATCCAGAGCAAACAGATAACTTCAAAAAAAAACAAAAACTATTGCAATTCTTAATAGCCACATTGGACCACACACCCTTACGTGACCAACCGCTATAATGCACCCTGGGATCTAGTAATTAGTATAAGCCAAGGCCCACTCCTGGATTTGACAGTAGGGCAGTCACTAAGAATTTGTGGGTTCTAAAAGAATGGGGATGGAAATGTAGCAGTTAGCATTCTTAATACCGAACCGCATAAAACACTTTGCTATTAAGTTGGTGCAAACGTAATTGCAGTTTTTGCCCTTGGCAAAAATGTTTGCACCAACCTAATAATTTCTGCTAAAAATATTATTGGAAAGCTGTTAAAAGTCCTATAGAACTTATTATCTAGGTAAACAGTTATAGAAATGGTGTAAGGCACAAATAAAAGAACCACCATACATCCAAGATCTGTCATTTTTTAAAGATATTTTCGAGATAGTAAAAAATAACACTTTCAAAATATTATTATTTCTATCTTTTATTAATGTACATGTAAGTCTTTTCTTAATGTACATATAAGCCTTAGACATTTCCTAAATTGCACATTTAAAATAATAATAATCCTAAAAATCTAAATGCAGTTGGTATAAAGTAAACATGATTTTTCTTCATATTATGAGTATGGAGGATGACAAATAATTCATATTGATTGTCAACCTTGACTTGGCTTAGGTTTCCTACTTCGCAATCTGTTGAGAAGAATTATATTATTCAATTTCAAGCTCTTAAGTGCTTTAAATTAATATAACTGATATCTAGGTATCAAAATCACACAATTTACATATCTCTCAAAGCACAACAAATGTATCCCATTGTGTATATTTATTTTACATGTCAGTAGCAATGAAATTACCTACTGTATTAAAATCTAAAGACTTTTGACTTATATAGGCTTATCTGACTTCAATAAATATAAAAGTTTTACTTTTGTCTAACACTGTCTACTTTCCACAGACTCAGGAGCATGTTTCCGATTAATAGTAAAGAGAATTTAGTTGACAACTGGCTACAGCTGTTTCAATCAGCTTAGTCTCAACATTTAGGCTAGGGGTAAATGTTCCTTTATTACTAAGAAACAAAATACAAATTAGACCTTTATTCATCTCCTTAAGTTTGGAGACTATTAAGGAGCTTCATACTTGTACTCTTCACCAAAGGAATGTAAGTGCACAGTAGACATTTTATTTAGTCAAGTTCTATCAATATTTTTTGAGTAATTATCAGTGTTGAGTTGACAGTATGATTCAACTCATGTACCAACACATAAGGGATGATAAGTGGAGTATAGTGTTGAAAAGGACTCTAAGGCTTAACCTGGGTTCAGTATCAAGGGTGCTATGTTAACTAGTGACACTGCCTGGTGGTGTGCAAGACTGAGAAAGGGGCTTGAATGCCACATATCTGCCATCACGTAAAGGCAATGAACAAGTAATAGATGAATGTCCATCCCCAATACCAATATTTCTCAATCTTTAGAGTATAAGAATCATCTTGTGAGCTGTGAGAAATTCAAATTGCTGGTGTCCACTTGTAGCTATTATTATTTAGTATATTTAGGCCAGGGTTTATTAACTGGCTTTTGTTTCAAGAACCCATATGAGCTTGGTGACAGTGGAATGATAACCATGCTTTGAAAGCACTGCTCTTTATAGCATACTTTCTGTTCTCACTAAAGCTCTGAAAATGCCAATCAAATAGATATTTTATTGAAATGGTATAAGGTCAAAAGTAGTGAAAATGTGAGGAGTTGGCCTAACACCTAATCCTTTATATGTACTCTTGCTATAAATAAACAAAGTTCATTCCATAAAGATAATTATCTAGATTGCTTACATAACCCCAAACACTCATGATGTCCCAGGGTACCACTGATGATTTTAAGTGTCAAGCTAATGTATCAGTAGCTAAACTCAGTTGTCATTTGAGACAAGTCCAAGTAATACTAATCGCTTTTTCACAAGTGGTCTTCATACATATTTTTTCTTTTCTAAGTAAACCTCTTTCTTTAATAGGTCCCTGCATTTGTAGTTTAAGACCTTTTTCCATCTGAGTTGCTTAGCAGTTTGCTAATAACATTCACAGTGATGTTTGCCCAGGCTTAAACATGGTTTTCCATGTGCTTCTAGTCATATGCAGTTAGTTTGACCCACTTTCCTCATCTAGTCATTTCATACCCATTAATGTCATGATTCAGCAAAGTCCTGAAGAGATTTTGGTATAGTTGAGTGGGTTAATACATAGACTTGGCTTGAAGGAGAAATGGGTTTTACTTTTGGCTTTGTTACTTATATGTCTGAAATTGAGCAAGATTGTTACATATGGATGGATAGTAAATAATTTTTCAGGAAATGTGTTTAATTCGTTTTACTTTTAGAAAACATGCCAAAAATTCATAGCAAATTTATTAATAACTCCTGAATGAAAAATTTGGTTATGTTTTAGTTTCCTCTGGACCTGGACATAAAATTAAAATAAAAAATAAGATGTAAGTATAATTATGATGGGTAAGTTACTAGCTGCACAGGGAATAAAATTACATGACCAGATCCTTATCATCCCAAATTGAACTACTCACATTAGCACAGCAAACATGGTCTTTTCTACAGCTAATATTTCCTCTGCCAAAATGTCCTATTTGCTTGGATTATATCAACAAATTGGCAGACCTGCCCAGCTACTGCCTTCGCCTGTCTATACATATCTTGGCCATCAGAGGCCTTGAACTCCATGCCAAATAAGCTAATCTCCTTTACCCCATTCCACAAACATTTTTCTTTTATCATTTACTCTGATTTACCTAATTATTGTCCTTAATCCTTGTGGCAGAAACTGCCATTTGCCTATATTTTATCCATTCTTGTCTTTTTCCTTAACAACAGAAAGCTGATTTTATTGGAAATGAAACGCACTGGCAAAGAAAACTGCAATTTCTTGCCCCCTAGACAAGTGGGACTAGCCTTGTAACTGGTTATTTCTGGCTAAAGAGCTTTAACAGTAGTTTTAGGTCATGAAACTGGAATCTTAAAGGGAAGTAGGGTGAGGAGTCAACTAGCATATGCCATTTTGTCTTTTTTTTTTTTTTTCTACCTGAAAGGCAAATGGGATGGTAGGCATCCTAGTGGCTATCTCATAACCATGAGGTCACCTCAAGTATGGTAGCCTAAGGATGGCAGAACACATATATGGAAACAAGAGGGAAATCAATGTGATTGAGTGGCTACTTTGGGTCTGGACTTCCCAATGTACATCTCATTATTTAAAACAAGTATGAGTTCCTAACTTATTTTAAGAATTATTGACTGATTTCTGTTACTTATAGACTACCACATTGATTCATTACTCTGATAGAGGCAACTCAGATAAAAATGATTTTTAATGGGTGTAGCACACCAACATGGCACATGTATACATATGTAACAAACCTGCATGTTGTGCACATGTACCCTAAAACTTAAAGTATAATAATAATACAATTTAAAAAATGATTTTGACAATGGCTTTATAGAATCTGGTAATTTTCCAATAAAACCCTTTCCTATATGTAAACTTTGTTTTTCTTTTATTTCAACTAAAACGGGGGCAATTATGGCAGAAGGTATTGCCAGTTATTTGAATTACCAAAAAGTTAGAAGAAATTTAATCTAAATTCATAAGTTTTCTACTTGCTTGTGATACATAGTTTGAGGAACACAGTAAGCCATGATATACGGTAAAATATTGTTTGTACAATTCTTAACTGATGAAATAGTCATATCCCTTAAAATATGTTAGAAAAAAGACCCTTACCAGTATTGAGGTATTACTGGAACTTTAAGTGGAACAATAACTTCGAGTTAGGAGTTGCCCTGTTTCTGGCAAAAGTTTAACATTTCTGGATCCCACCCACCCAACACTGTATTCTATGCATTTATTGTGTGGGTCAAAAATGCCTCCTGGGGAGACACTGCCTCTCTGCCCCTCCTCTTATACTTCTTTCTCTTCTATCAACCCCCATTGAAAAACTGCTGGATCAAGAAGAATCTGAGACAATTCTGCCTTAAGAACATATCCATTTATTCCTCTATTTTATCTGTTCTACATTTAAGTCTCTATCTCTATTGATTTAAAATATTGAAGATATATAACCTCTATTATTCTCTAATAATAAAATTATGTCCATTCGAACCCCTTTTATCTCTCATTTTCATGAAATATGTCAGAAGATGGCAATCAACACAAATTTTTAGAAGTATGTGTAAATGAAATTATTATGAATGTATAATGGGTACAACAGAGATTTTTAGTCTAGAGTCGCCATTAACTTGCTACAAACTTCTTAGAGATTTTATTTATCAATGAAGTGTAGTTAACAAAACCTTCAAATTCTATGACATGGTAATGTTATTACAATAATATAGAATGATGTGTGTGTGATCATTTTACATGAAACGCTGGGATAGTGTTATTTCTTTAAAGTGGGGAAAATTTAATGTGTGCAGATATTCATGTATTCACAAATATATGTCTTGAGGCTTAAAGAATCTGATCACTAGATTCATCAGTTTCTGGCTAGTTATATAAGATGTACAGTGATAAACAAATTATGAATATGACACCATCCCCTTATTTATACTTATATTTAAATTTGTACTTAGTGTGACCGTGAATCACATATATTTGTAACCATTTTCCATTAGTAATGAAGTTTTCTATATTGATACTACTGAAGTATGTTAAAATAGTACCTAATTTCCAGAAAAAAAGCTCTTAAACATGTACACAGTACATAATTAGTACCCAACCCTGTCTACCAGTATTAAGTAATTCCATAAATCTAACCAACAAAAAAACAAAAATACTATTACTACTTCATTTTAAAGACGATGAAACAAAATCACAGAGAGTCTTAAAAAGTGTAAAAACTTACATGGCAATTAAGCACTGGAATCCACATTATAATTCAGGTAATCTGACTAAAAAGTATATATTCTTCACCACTAACAATACAAAGAATGTATATATTTTATGTAAAAATAATTTTGATTTGATAGTCATTTTATTTTAAATTTTAAAAGGCATTTTGAGCTCTAAAAATCAAATATCCTTCAAGTTTGCCACCTGGCAGCTGCTTTGACAAAATTCTATTTTAATTTTCTTCAAAAATTAATATCTGAATTAAGTGTTGAATGGAAGCTGCGATTTGTGAATGTCCAATTTGTTTTTCTCTTGCTAGTCATGTCAACAATCGAATTGGACATTTTTACTTATACATAGTAGGTAGAATTCTGGCAGGAAAGAATATGACAGAGAGGGAAGATGAAAAATATTAATCAACTATAAGGTATCAATCAACACGTTCATGAGGAGAACTTTATAAACTGCTAATCTTTCCCTAATAACACATGACACACAAATGGGGGTGGGACAAGATGATATTAAATTTTAAGAATATTCTGCTAACATTTTAAATTATGCATTATTCCATGTTTTTATACATCCAACATTTAAATAAAATTTATTTGGTATAAAAGCCTGTCTAATAAAGTAACATCACTAATACATTTGATTGTTTCAGTGCTCAAGTACAGATAATGTGTTGCTACCATAGAATACATTTCACACCTTTCTACAACAATTCACTTTCTGAATATATGTCAAGGGCATGTAATTTATCTTTTTCGTCAAAGCTAGCTAAAATATTTACAGTTTTAAGGTGAGCATTTTATGATATACTGCATTATTTTCTTATTATCTGTATGTCATCATAAGTATCTTTTGATTTCTATTATTAAATTTTAAAGTACAATGGAATTTTAACCAGTCTCATTTTGGCAATTTTAAAGTTAAAATTAATACACAAAATAAAAATCTCACCTAGACTTGGATGCTGCTTCTGATTATATCAAGTTTATGAAAATTACTAACAAGCCTCTATCTTTTCCAAACGTTTGTTGTGTTTTTTTTTTTCTCAATACAGTGCTTGACATACACCTGATAACAAGAATGATAAGAAATATTTGGACAATTTTACATGAGGCTATAAAATAAAAAATAATTATTTGATCATGAAACCTAGGTCTCAATTAGTGACTTCAAATCCCTCCCTGGGTCTCAAATAGTGACTTCAAATTCCTCCCTGATGCAAGGGAAGAAATAAGAACATACCAGCAGAAATTATATTACATTAATTCAAACTATTTCTTATTCTCTAAAAAACTGATAAAGAGCCTAAGAGATGTTTATTTATTTCTCATGATGTTAAACATATTGCATAATTATAAATTATTAATGAATATAATGAATTATAAAGGATCTCAATTAGAAAAGGAAACTTTGAAGCCTTTTTCATTGCATTTTAAATAAAATATATAGATTGGGAGCCAAGATGGATGATTCGATGCAGCCAGGAAGAGCATCTCCCACAGAGATCAGATGATCAAGAAGGATGGTATACTCTGGTTCCTGGCCCCCGGGGGCTCTGGGGGAAGAGGTGAATTAAATAGGTGAGGAGTGACCCATTCTCACCACAGACCTCCAGAATCCTAGCTGCAGGAGACCCCATGACCTCCATGGACATTTGAGCTAACAGGGAGAGCTGCTTGGAGAGGTGTTGGGGATAAGATTCCAGCCTATGTAGAGCCAAGAGGGTTTGGCATGGGAACAGCTGCCATGGAACATGACCAAGACATCGATCCCCCAAGGCTTGCTATGCTCCTTTAGGGGGCATTGGCTTTTGTTGACTGTCGAACCTGGACACAGCAGTGTGGTCTTACCTGTGGGAGGGGAAAGTCTAATCTCAGTGCCCCACTGTGTGCTGGCCTCTGACACGGTCATTGCCTGGTCATGCCCACTTGCAGCACAGCCTTGGATGCCTGAGGGGGTGTGGGGCAGTTTCTTGGCAGCTGACATTATAGCTCCTTTGCCAGCAGACCAAGCACAACCATTGAAGAGATTCAAAAGACAAGTCCCTGCTGATGGGCACCCACCCATCCACAGCCTCCTCCCTTCACTTTGACAGCATGCATTTGCTCATGGACTTCTGCACCACTTTGCTGGTGCAAGAGCGTACACAGAACTCACTGCCCCATTGCCACCCACACATGCATGTGCAGATCTCATGGCTGCCACCCTGCCTCCACTAGCATGTTTGCACCCTGCCTCACCACCACTACTGATGCGAATGTGCACACACAGACCTGCCACCCAACTTCTGCTGTTGCCCCACCCCAGCTGACACACATACCCTACTTCACCACCACTGCCACTAACACATGTGCATAAGCACGGACCCCACTGCTGACTCCACTTTGCCACCACTGCCACTAACACATGTGTACAAGCATGGATCCCACTTCATCAGCACCATGATGAAACAGTTTGGCTGGTACTCCCGACCTGAGTGTTACTGTTAACAAATGAGGAACACCTTGCCCCCTCCAGGGCAGGAGGTGCTCAACCTCGAGAGGCCAGAGAACAAAGCCATGGGCCAGGTACCAGCCATCAAGTGTTACAGCATGCAGCCCAGGAGTGCTGGGTTGAGCCTTGGCCCAGTACAATCTTCCAGAAATGAAGCTAGTCAACGGAACCCTCTTTATACCACTCTCAAGGACATCAAATAATATAAAAACAAAACAAAAAAAAACCCATCCGAAAGACAACGACTTCAAAGATTAAAAGAACATCAGTCCACACTGATGAGAAAGAACCAACACAAGAAGTCTGGCAACTCAAAAAGCCAGAGTGTCTTCTTATTGCCAAATGATGTACCAGTTCCCCAACAATAGTTCTCAACCAGGCTGAAATGGCTGCAATGAGACACACAGAATTCAGAATCTGGATTAGGATGATAATCAAGCCTCAGGAGAAAGTTGAAACCCAATCTAAGGAATCCAATAAAATGATATAAGAGCTGAAAAACAAAATAGCCATTTTAAGAGAAAAAACAAAACCAACCCGATAGGGCTGAAAAACTTACTCTAGGAATTCGATGATAAAATTAGAAATATTAGCAGCAGAATAGACCAAACTGAAGAAATAATCTCAGAGATCAAAGACTTGTTCTTCAAATCAGCACAGTCAGACAAAAATAAAGAAAAAATAATTTAAATAATGAACAAAACCTCCAAGAAATGTGGGATTATGTAATGTGTAAATGTGAGATTAGTGCTACACATGAAATCAAACCTAGGATTTATTTGCATCCCTGAAAGAGAGGGAGAGACAAGAACCAACTTGGAAAAAGTATTTGATGATATTGTCGATGAACATTTCCTCTACGTTGTTAGAAACATCAACATTCTACTTCAGAAAAGGCAGAGAACCCCTGTGAGATACTATACAAGATGTCCTTCCCCAAGACACATAATCATCAGATTTCCCAACGTCAATGTGAAATAAGAAAATATTAAAAGCATTTAGAGACAGGCCACTAACAAAGGGAACTCCATCAGGCTAACAGCAAACCTTTCAATAGAAACCCTATAAGCCAGAAGAGATTGAAGACTTATACACAGCATTCTTAAAGAAACACAATTTTAAGCAATAATTTCATATCCAGTCAACTAAGCTTTATAAGCAAAGAAGAAATAAGACCCTTTTCAGACAAGCAAATGCGAAGGGAATTTGTTACCATCAGACCTGCTTACAAGAAATCTTTATGGGAGTGCTATACATGAAAGTAAAAGACTGTTACTAGCCACCACAAAAGCACACTTAAGTACATAGACCATTAACACTAAAAAAGGAGCCACACAATCAAATCTGCATAACAAGGAGCTAAAAACAAGATGACAGAAGCAAATCCACACGTATCAATATTAACGTTGAATGTAAACAGAATAAATGCCCCAATTAAAAGGCACAGAGTGGCAAGTTGGATAAAAAAGCAAGACCCAACTATATGCTATCTTTAAGGGACCAATCTCACATGTAGTAACACCCATTGACTCAAAGTAAAGGAATGGATAAAAATCTACCAAGCAAATAGAATACAAAAAAGAGAAGGTGTTGCTATTCTAATTTGAGACAAAACAGACTTCTTCAAACAAACAGTGATCAAAAAGACAAATAAGGGCATAACATAATGATAAAGGGTTCAATTAAACAAGAAGAATTAACTATCCCAAATATATATGCACTCAACGCTGGGACACCCAGATTCATAAAACAAGTTCATAGGGATCTATGGTGAGATTTAAATGACCATACACTAATAGTGGGAGACTTCAACACCCTGCTGACAGTATTAGACAAATCACTGGGGCTGAAAACTAACAGAGATAACTGGGAGCTAAACTTGGCACTTGACCAAATGAATCTAACACATGTCTACAGAACACTTCACCCAACAACAGAATATACATTATTCTCATCTGCACATGATACATAATCTAAAATCGACCACACAATCAACCATAAAACAAATCAACAAATTCACAAAACCAAAAACATATCAACCACGATCTTGGACCACTGTGCAATAAGCAAAGAAATAAGTACCAAGAAGATCTCTCAAAACCATGCAATAACATGGAAAATAAACAACCTGCTTCTGAATGAGTTTTGGGTAAACAAAGCAGAAATCATGAAATTCTTTGAAACCAATGAAAACAAATAAACAACATACAAGAATCTCTGGGACACAGCTAAAGCAGTGTTATAAGAAAAGTCATAAGAAAAGTTTTAGCACTAAATGCCCATCTCAAAAGTTAGAAAGATCTCAAATTAACAAGCTAACATCACACCTAGAAGAACTAAATAAACAACTCCAACACTAGCAGAAGAAAAGAAATAACCAAAATCAGAGCTGAACTGAATGAAATGGAGACATGAAAACCCATACAAAGGATCAATGAAACCAGAGTTAGTTCTTTGAAAGAATAAATAATATTGATGGACTGGTAGGTAGACTAATAAAAAAAGGAGAAAATACAAATAAACACAATCAGAAATGATAAAGGTGATATAACCACTGACATCACAGAAATACAAAAACAAACAAACAAAAACCTTCAGACAAGACATTATTACAAACATCTCTAGGCACACAAACTAGAAAACCTACAAGAAGTGGATAAATTTCTGAAAACATTCAAACTCCCAAGATTGAACTAAAAATAAACTAAAACGCAGAACAGGCCAATAATGACTTTTGAAATTGAATCAATAATAAAAGCCTGCCAACCAGAAAAAGCCCTATACCAGACAGATTCACAGCTGAATTTTACCGGATGTATAAGGAAGAGGTAGTAACAAACCTGCTGAAACTATTCCAAAAAATTTAGGAGAAGGGATTCCTCCCTAACTCATCCTGATATCAAATCCTGGCAGAAACACAGCAGAAAAAGTTAAAACTTCAGGCCAATTTCCCTGATGAACATAGATACAAAAATCCTCAAGAAAATACTGTATTCAGCAAACTGAATACAGTAGCATATCAAAAAGTGAAGTCACCATAATCAAGTAGGGTTTATCCCTGGGATGTAAAGTTGGTTCAACATACATGAATCAATAAATATGGTTCATCACATAAACAGAACTAAAAGCAAAAAACATATGATTGCCTCAATAGATGCAGAAAAAGCATCTGATAAAATTCAACATCCTTTATATTAAACATCCTCAATAAACTAGGCATTGAAGACACACACTTCAAAATAATATGACAAGAGCCATCTCTGACAAGTTCACAGCCAAAATCATATTGAATGGGCAAAAACTGGAAGCATTCCCTCTGCGAACTGGAAGAAGAGTATTACTCTCACTACTTTTATTCAACATAGTACCGGATGTCCTAGCCAGAGCAATCAGGCAAGAGAAAGAAATAAAAGGCATCCAAATAGGAAGAGATGAAATCAAGCTATCTTTCTTCACATACATAATGATTTTATACCTAAAAAAAAAAACAGGGTTTCTGCCTAAAAGCTTCTAGAGCTGATAAACAATTTCACCAATGCCTCAGGATACAAAATCAATGTGCAAAATTTACTAGCATATCTATTCACCAAAAACATCCAAGCTGGAAGCCAAGTCAAGAACAAAATACCGTTCACAATAGCCACAACAATATTAAAATACCGAGGAATACAGCTAACAAGGGAGGTGAAAAACCTCTAGAATGAGAATTTAAAAACCCTGAATTAAGAAATCAGAAACAACACAAACAAATGGAAAAATATTCCATACTCATGGATAGGAAGAGTCAATATTGTTAAAATGGCTATATGGTCCAAACCAATGTACAGATTTAACACTCTTCTTATCAAACTACCAATGGCATTTTTCACAGAATTAGGAAAATATATTCTAAAATTTATATGGATATAAGGGGTTGCATAGCAATATATTCAAGCTTCTGTACAAGGCATTTGAGGTCAGGGCATAGAAAAACACTGAGGTACTGTGTGTATGTTGTTTGTGCATGAGACTGTAACTCCTTGACCCTGAAAACAGGACAAGCAATTGAGTGTGTGATACGGAATGCTGAAAACAGTCTCCTAAGAATGTAGTTTAACTGCTTTTACAAGGCCATATGTATCTCATGACCCGACGGCAAAATGCCATCTGGTGGATGTCTGTAGTAGCAAGCCCTTTCAATAAATACTTGGTGGATGGATTCTGGGGGGCACTCTCTCAGAAGAGCTGCCCCTCACCCCGCTCAGCTGGAATTGTCTGAGTACTCATTCTTAGCATTCACTGAAAGCTATAAGCTGCAATGGAACCAAAAGAGAACCCAAATAGCCATGATAATCCAAAGCAAAATTACAAAGATGAAGGCATCATACTATCTGACTTCAAACTACACTACAAGGATACAGTAAACAAAACACCACAGTACTGCTTAAAAAGTAGACACACAAACCAATGAAACAGGTTACAGAACCCAGAAATAAAGCCTCACACCTACAATCACCTGATCTTCGACAAAGCCAACAAAAACAAGCCATGAAGAAAGGGAACCCTACTCAATTAATGGCAAAATAAATGACTAGTCATATGCAGAAGATTAAAAACGGACCCTTTCCTTTCACCATATACAAAAATCAACTCAAGATAGACTAAAGACTTAAATGTAAAACCAAAAACAATAGAAAACCTTGAAGAAAACCTAGAAAACACCATTCTAGACATAAGCCCTGGCAAAGACTTCATGTCGAAGATGTCAAATGCAATTACACCAAAAATAAAATTGGCAGAAGGGACCTAATTAAACTAAAGTTTCTGCACAGCAAAATAAACTATCAACAGAGTAAACAGACAACCTACAGAATGGGAGAAAATATTTGCAAACTACGCAACCAACGAAGGCTTAATATCCAGAATTTATAAGGATTTTAACAAATGAACAAGTAAAAAACAAACAACCCCATTATAAATTGAGCAAAAGATATAAACAGACATTTTTCAAAAGAAGTTACACACATGACCAACAAGCATATGAAAAAATGCTCAACATCTCTAATCATTAGAGAAATGTAAATCAAAACCACTGTGAGATACTATCTCACACCAATCAATCAGAATAGCCAACATTAAGAAGTCAAAAAATAAGAGATTCTGGTGAGGTCATGGATAAAAGAAAACATTTATACACTGCTAGTGGGAAGAGAAATTAGTTCAGTCACTGTGGAAAGCAGTTTGGAGATTTCTCAAAGAACTTAAAACAGAACTACCATTCCAACCTACCAATCCCATTATTGGGTATATACCTAAAGGAACACAAATCATCCTACTTTAGAGACACATGCACACATGTGTTCACTGCAGCACTACTCACAATCAAAGATGTGGAATATACCTAAATGCCCATCAAAGGTAAACTGAATAAAGAAAATGTGATACATATACACCATGGAATTCTATACAGCCATAAAAGAGAATGAAATCATGCAGCAACATGGATAGTGCTGTAGGCCATTATGCTAAGTGAATTAATTTAGGAGCAGAAAAGAAAATACCGCATGTTCTCACTTGTGTTTGAGAGATGAACATCAAGTACACACGGACACAAAGAAATGAACAACAGACACCAAGGTCTACTTGAGAGCTGAGGGTGGGAGGAAGATAAAAATAAAAAATCTACCCATCAAGTACTATGCTTATTACGTTAGTGATGAAATACTCTGTGCACCAAACCCCCATGACACACAATTTATGCATGTAAGAAACCTGCATGTGTACCCCCGAACCTAAAATAAAAGTTGAAAATAAAATAAATATATAAATAGAATGAAACAGTTTTTGTAATCACCTTAGCTTACTTTCTTAGAAAATTCTGTTATCAATAGGAATATAATTTATTCATGATGTAATATTTCATATTTTTAATATTTAGAAGCATGTAAATAGCATGCCAATTTTATATATGTGAATTAGTCCATATGTAAATGGGACATAATTATACAATAATGAATTATTTACTAAACTTATAATTCCCAAATTTCCAAACTCATGTTTTATATTTATACACATTTTTTTTTGGATACAGAGTCTCACTCTTTTGCCCAGGCTGGAGTGCAGTGGTAGACTCTCGGCTCACTGCAACTTCCACATCTCAAGTTCAAGTGATTCTCCTGCCTCAGCCTCCCAAATAGAGGTATATGCTTTTTATGTGGTAAGCTTTGGTGATGTCTGAATATTTAATAACTTGCATGGCACAGACACAGAACAGACACTAGCTTTGACAAAAAGAAAAGGACAATCATTAGTGTGCAAATTTAGAAAATATCACCCCTTGTAGGTCACATTACAATTTAGTAATTAATAGAAATCTTTGACCTAATTCTTACTCTTGGGACCATTCTTCCTTTCATATCCAAGTGACTTTCCTCCCTTATCTTCTTTGTCTTTGCACAACTATCACCTTTACAGTGACTACTCCTTGACCATCCTATTTAAAATGGCACATGTACTTTCCATCTTCCTCATTCTGCTTAATATTTCTCTATAGCACTTATTGCGAATAAAATTTTATTGACACATAGCCATACCCATATATTTAGCTATTGTCTGGGGTTGCTTTGTCACCACAGTGCCAGTTTGTAAAAGTATGAGAGATCCCGTGGCTGGCAAAGCCTAAAGAAGTATATAATATCTGGTCTTTGCAGAAAGGTTTGCCAATCCACACCCTGCATAATTCACTTATTTATTATGTTCATTGTCTGTCTCACCTCAGCAGATTATAAATTCCATGGAAACAGAAGTTTTCTCTTTTTTGTTCTTTGCATCACTTTTCTATCCCAATTACCTATTAACAGCACTTGACACATAGTAGGCACTTAATAAATATTGGTAAAAAAAGGAATGGATAAATGGAAAACTAAACAAAATGTTTATCACATTTTCCATATATTTGCTCTCTTCACTAGTTATGTTTTTAAAAGACTTCTGCACAGCAAAAGAAACTACCATCAGAGTGAACAGGCAACCTACAAAATGGGAGAAAATTTTCGCAACCTACTCATCTGACAAAGGGCTAATATCCAGAATCTACAATGAACTCAAACAAATTTACAAGAAAAAAACAAACAACCCCATCAAAAAGTGGGCGAAGGACATGAACAGACACTTCTCAAAAGAAGACATTTATGCAGCCAAAAAACACATGAAAACATGCTCACCATCACTGGCTATCAAAGAAATGCAAATCAAAACCACAATGAGATACCATCTCACACCAGTTAGAATGGCAATCACTAAAAAGTCAGGAAACAACAGGTGCTGGAGAGGATGTGGAGAAATAGGAACACTTTTACACTGTTGGTGGGACTGTAAACTAGTTCAACCATTGTGGAAGTCAGTGTGGCGATTCCTCAGGGATCTAGAACTGGAAATACCATTTGACCCAGCCATCCCATTACTGGGTATATACCCAAAGGACTATAAATCATTCTGCTATAAAGACACATGCACACGTATGTTTATTGCAGCATTATTCACAATAGCAAAGACTTGGAACCAACCCAAATGTCCAAAAATGATAGACTGGATTAAGAAAATGTGGCACATATACACCATGGAATACTATGCAGCCATAAAAAATGATGAGTTCATGTCCTTTGTAGGGACATGGATTAAATTGGAAATCATCATTCTCAGTAAACTATCGCAAGAACAAAAAACCAAACACCGCATATTCTCACTCATAGGTGGGAATTGAACAATGAGATCACATGGACACAGGAAGGGGAATATCACACTCTGGGGACTGTTGTGGGGTGGGGGGAGGGGGGAGGGATAGCATTGGGAGATATATCTAATGCTAGATGATGAGTTAGTGGGTGCAGTGCACCAGCATGGCACATGTATACATATGTAACTAACCTGCACAATGTGCACACATACCCTAAAACTTAAAGTATAATAAAAAAAAAATTTACAGTTTCATTAAAAATAGGTATATGAGAACTTAAAAAATAAAAAGCAGTATGTAAATTTTTTTATGGCAGGCATTATAAATTGTGGCCAATTATTCATAATAAAAATAAAAATAAATTGTTTAACGATTTCATGACTTTTAATATATTATAGAAATATGTAATATATTTAATTTTTGTATTGTCAGACATAATTCACTGGCAGATGGAAAAATAGGAGTACTTTACCCATTTGAAAGTAAAAGTGAAAATGGATATTGCTATTCTTTTTTTAATGTGACAAAAATTTTTTTAAAAAATGGATTTATGATGTGGAAAGAGTATAGAAAAAAAGCTGCTTCATTTTAGTGTTCATAATAGACAAGTAAAGTAATGTAAAGAGTTGTCAGATTTGAACACAAGATATTAAGAAAGTAGATTTCAAAAACATGAAAAAAACAAAATTTCAAAAGACTTTACGTGTGACTACGGCTTAAAACAAATGGAAAAAATGTGGTAAGTAAATTTTGATAAAACAATATGACGCAATGTCAGTGACAAAGAAAAAGTTCTTTCTTAGACAAGACCTAAGAAATATAAGTAGTTTTTCAAGTTAATGGTTATGTTAAAAGCTTATGTACAGAAAATTGTGAAACATTTTCAGTCATTAGCTGAGACCTGACACCTGATAAAGGCTAGGAAATGTATGTTACAATATTACGAGTCAAAAAACAAAAAGAAAAAGAATGTTCCCACTAAAAAGAAAAGATGGTGTACTGTTCTACATTGAAAATAAGAAAAATTAATTCTCCACTTTACCATGGCCAGTTGGGTTCCCAGGTGCTAGAAAACAGATTCTGAGACATACATTAGCCTGAAGAATGTTTGTTGTGGAGTTCTCCTGGGATTATCATCTGTGGAAGGAACAGAAATAAAGAACTGAGCAAACGACGAAGATGAGTTGTAATGCACTCCCAACCAAAAGGGCACCCTTTGGGAGTACTCTGGAGATATGGCCCATCAGAATTGTTTCAAGTTGAAGTGACATAACCAGGACATTTTACCCTTCCTTTGATAAGCCATGGGTGAGGCTACTATTGGAAGGAGTAATAATGTGGATCATGGTAATTTTCTTCAGAGGAACAATTCACAAATAGGGCTTAAATGCAAAAATGTCTTTGGGCAGAATTCACAATTAGTGTGTTGATAACACAGGGAGTTCATGCATGAAAAGACATCTAATCAATGTATCATAATATCAATTATAGTCCACTAACTTCAATGAGGTCTGGGAGTAGTTCCGCTTGGGTCGCGGTGAACCTCTCTTGCTGAGGTACTTAGAAGATTAAGGTTAATGGAATAGGTTCTAGTCCTTGCTTCTGCAGCTATTCTCAGGACCACAACAGAACAATCATCATTTCCATCCTCTGCTGTATATTCTTAATTCCCCTTACCTTCTGGGGGCTTATTTGGTGTTGCAAACCAGGCATCATCCCAGAGGGTTGTGAGAAGTTGGTTAGCATGCCCTATTTGGTGATATGTCTTTTATTTATTCTTGTTGTTCATGTTTTCTATATATTTGCTGATTTTTTTCCTAGTAAATGTATCTATCATTGAGAGTAGAATATTGAAGTCACTCAAAATTTGTCTATTTCTTCTTTTAATTCTTTGTGTTTGCTTACTATATTCCTGGGGTCTGTTTTAACATGCTTATGTATTCACAGTTTTTAATCTCTTGATAATAATAGATACTTTAATTGTGATGATAAGTTGTCTTTAGTAACATTTTTAAAACTTATTGTGATAAAATTAATGTAGTCACTTCATCTCCTTTATGCTTTCTTTTTGCACAGCATGCCTTCTTTAATTCCTTCAGCATTTCAATTTATTTTCATATTGATGGGAATAGAATTGTGGGTTATGTGTTGTCAGGGTAACCCCAACTGTTTGCCAGTTTACTTATATCATTCTATTGTCCTCTGACTTACATAGTCTCAAAGAGAATTCAGTATTTCTCACAGTTTTCTCCTTTATATAATGATCCCCTTCCCCCTACAGCTTTCTTCAAGATTTTCTTCTTTACCTTTTGTTTGTATAAGTTTAAATATGATATGTCTAGGTGATATTTTTGGTGGAGTGCCCTTACTTATCCAGTTTGGTTTTCTATGAGATTCTTGAATCTGTGGTGGCTCTTTATTATAATTTTGGAAAATCCTCATCCATTAGGTATTGAAATATTTTTTCTCCTTTTTTGAGACACAATTATGCGTATATTACAATGTTTAACATTGATTCATAGCTTTTGGTGGTCTTATGGTTTTTATTCTTTCTCCTTTTTTCTCTTTACGTTTCTGTATGGATAATTTTTAATGATTTCATATTGAAATTCATTAATTATTTCCCTAGGTATTTTGGGTCTATTCTGAAGTTTGTGACAGTGGCATTTTTCCAAATACATTTTTCTTACAATTTTTGTAGCATTTTCATTTAATTTTTTAGTTTTCATTTTATGGTATTTTCTATCTGATCTTGCAACTTTTTCATTAGAATCATTAATCTATTTTAATCATAGTTATTTTAAATTCTCCATCAGACAGTTTGAATATTAGTATCATGCCTGTGTGTGCTGAGAAAAACGACTTGACTCCTGAAAATGGCCACAGCTTTTCTTCTACTGGGCCTTTAGTGCAAGGTGTTAAGTAATCTAATTAGGAGTTGGGTTGGGTTAGATGTTAGTTTTGTTTTGTTTTTGGTTGCTATGAGTACCCTCAGTGAACCACAGATTTCAAATTCCTATAGCTACTTCATGGGTTTATGGTATAGATTGAGTTTTTAGAGCAATGTCGGTTGGAGTATAAAATTTAGGTCTTCCCTTTATATTTGCCTCACGACCTTTGCATTCTCTTGATCCTTCTGTCCTTCTTCCAGGAATAATATACTGTTGATTGTTACTCAAAACTTGTTAAATTGGTCATGAGGAGGGCAGTTGGAGGAGTCCATTCTCTGTGGCTCTGGATTAAACTTCTGTCTTAGGTATGACTATGTTCCCAAGTCTCAGGATTGTAGGCTTACTTTTTTCACCCACCAAGGACTGTAGTTGTGGGCAGAGTACCTATCCTGCCCTTCTCCTAAGAACAGCTCCCCCCTCCCCCTTTTTCCTTCCCACAGATGCAATTAGTCCTTACCAATGCCTTAAAAACAACAATGCTTTTTGTCCTTATACCTACCTACTGAGGCTTTTGCTTCACAGTGAAGGTATGCAAGAAAGATCTCGGTACAATTTCTTGCACTTTTATACAGCTCCTGTTACCCAACCCCAGCTTGCATTCCAATCAAACTTTTTAGGGATCTTTCTGATATCATCTGTGAGTAGAGTTAGTGTAAGTATGTCTGCAAAAGGGTATGAACTTCCCCAGTTTCTGTGACTCCCAGGCCACAGGTTTATACTGTTCACCACTTCACATTCAGCTTTTAAAACTTTTCAAATATTCTGTTTGAACTCTTCTTACTGATTTCCAGTGGCTTGTAACCCGGATGAGCAAGTACTCACATCTACTGTTTCCCAAGAAAAGTATTTTATCCTTAGATTTTGGCCAGTTTGTTGTTCTGCATCCTTAGCTATGCAAGGAGTTTAAAAATAAAATCTGAATTTAAAGTTGACCTGATTTTTAAAATTACATAATGAAATGACCTTTTTCTGTTATCTACATTTACAAGCAGAAGTATACTTAATTTTAATTAGTAGTTATTCCCATTTCTCAGAATATTAAGACAGCTTAGCTATAGCCACCCAATTCCATTGTCCTTATAGCCATTATTTCAACTCTACTATTCTTCTCATCTAAACAGAGCAAATATTTCTCCACAAATAAACCATACCACTAGTTCATAAAGCTTACCACCAGTAACTTTTATAAATTACATAGCTATCTTTTTTCAGGAACTGTCTATACTTCACCTACCTGCAATGACAGTTTCTCATTGTTAAGGCAGCAAGTGATTCAACTCCAAAATTTAACTTTAAATTTGCTTGTTTGATCATTTCTGACTTCAACATTCAAGTTGAATTACAAAGGAAATGGAATATGACACGTAGATATGCACACAGGAAATGTATAGGGGCTGCTGGAATCAGTGTTCTTGAAATGGAGGAAAAGGAATGAGGATTACGAATATAGAAAATGTGAGTGCTATTCAGTTGCAACCAATGCTCAGCTGACCCCACAAGGATTTCTGAAACTAGGATACACTTCAGAGTTGTCCTAAATTGAGAAGAGGACTTCCATACTCCTATGTTGTTAGGCCATTGGAGGGGTCTGCCCACAGAAAGAGTCATGACATTGGGAAAAGTAGTTTTCTACAGCTGAGACAATGCTAAAGAGAGCTTACAGCTAAGACTTGTTAATTGGCAAAATTTGAGCAGGTAGCTACAATGACAACTTCACGCGAGAAAAGAGATCTGGGTGGCATATTATAGCCTCCACCATATTTACTTTTTTTTCCTTTTAAGTAAAAGTATCCTTAAAATTAATAGAGTTATCATTATTAAGGATTTACTAATTAAAATACATATTCTGGTTCTACAGAGTCCACTGACTAGTTGGCATGAAGTGGAAGTAGGCAGGCAATAAAAATACTGTAGTGTGAACATTTATATTGTTACTAAGCTGGAACTTTTCTGGAAAGTGCCCCTGCCTCTGTCTGCCTTAAAAACAAAAGCGCCTGTGCCTATATAAATTTAATGTTTACTCCAAGAAATCCTCACCCAAGAAGTTAGGATTATGAACTAATAAATAACTTTACTGTTTGCTTAAAGAAATTATTGCAACAAAAGTATCTGAGAAAACTATTTGTTCACATCTGAGCAAACAACTGTCAGACAACATTTTTCACACCTAAAGAAACAGCTCAGTTATTACAACAGTTCCAACTAGTCTTCAAAATCTTCATCCTTCTTTGTCTAGCAATCCTATTGTGTAAAAACTTTATTCAGTTCCAAAACATTCCCCATCTCTAAAGACCCACTTTAAGCCACTCGAGCTAATACTTTAAAATCCCATAAATACCCTTCGCTAACATCCTGTCTTTGAGACACTATTGAGACTGTGTCCAGGTAGTGTTCTTTGTTGCTGCACAAATTTAATAAACTAAGATTTGCTTAACCAACAGATGTTTTGGTGGTTTGTGGAAGAGACTATAATTATCCATTCTGGAAATCACTTCAAGAACCTTTTAAGATCTTCTTGGCATGGTTGAAGATCCTCAATTCAGAAACAGTACATTATCCTGTCATCTAATAAGTATCCTATATGGGAACCTTTCTGACCACAATAGTAAATTACGCCCCACATTTAGCCTGAGCTATGATTTCTATTGTCTAGATCAGTTATAGCCTACAGACTATAATTGTTCATTTATGTCTATGTCTTTGCTGCCACACCAGCAGTGTCAGATAGGACAAAGACAATATGATCCCCACAACTGAAAATATTTACTATTTACTCCTTTAGAAACAATATTACTGATCTCTTATTTCAAACTGATGGCTGAGTTTATCTCCTGAGAATGGAGGAATCACTCCTCTATAAATCATTTGCTTATGTGCTCATGAATTGAAAACTCTTATCTTTGGTAAAAACACGTCAGTAGCAACACTCTAACTTTTCTCTCTGTTTGTCCTTGTCACTTTTGTTTTGAGTCTTTTTAAGAAGGAGTTTATAGAGTAGAGTGGGCATAGATCCAAGAAGTCTGTCCCTTAAGATGGCCCCAGTGCTCGTAAGATAAAAAAGTCGTATCATGTGTTAATCCTTACTAGGTAAATTTTGTCTTCCTTAATGTTTCAAACTTAATGAAGAGTTTCCTATGTCTTGTAGTTGTTTATTTGTTTTATACTTGTCTAGATCAGGAATTGCCGAATTATGGCCTGTAAGTCACACCTTTCTTTTATGTGTATGGCTATGAATTTACTTGGTTGCCTCTGTTCAGTGCTGGAGGTTTCTCTGCACTACAGTTGGTGATGGTTGGTCTTTGACCAGATTCTGAAGACACTTGATTTTAGAAACACCATTTTTACCTACTGCAGTTCTCTTAAAGTCTTATTAGTCTCTCCGCCAAACAGAGCTTTCTTCATGTTTTAATTCATGTATACATCTCTCTAACTGACACAATTTCACCAAGAACAATTTGGAAATGCACTGCCAAGTTCAGGAATATTTTGATCTGAAGATGATTTTTCAATTTAGAACACAAAAGAGAAAACTTCCATGAGGAAATCCTTTTTATTATCTGTCTATAGAAGTAACATAGAAAACCTCTTTGTCTCCGTATTTCAGAGATTAATAATCTGTTACACTTTAATTTATTTTTTATTTGTTATTTTCTTATATATATTCTTATTTCCTCTTTGATAAATTAAGTTTCTATAATGTGTACTGATACCAATTAACTGTGATATCCACAAGGCTTTTATCAATAGTATTATTCTTGGCTTCCATGGTCACTCCATGGTAAGAGCATAATATTTGGCTAAAATTAACTTATGATTTTCCTAAAATATGCCTGGCTGTGCGCAGTGACCAGACCCCATGCTTGCTCACCCACACACCCCTCCCCTGGTGCTCTGTGCCTGGCTCTCCCTTAGCAGGCGTGGGATCCAGGCCGGTAGCAAGAGAGGAGCGCAGCCTGCTAAGCCTAGCGGGCCGGGCAAAAGGAGCCCAGCGGCGCAAGCAATACTCACACAGAGATGCTGCAGCCCACACAGCTTTCTGGCTGGCACAGTGACACCCCAAGGATCCTGTGATAGTATTTTAAGCCCATCTGATCCTATTAGTCTTCTTGGGCAGTCATAACAAAATACCACAGATTGGATGGCCTAAACAACAAGAAATCAATTTTCTCACAATTGTAGAGGCTAGAAGTCCACGATCAAGGTGCTTGTTTATTCGATTTCTGCCAAGGCCTCGCCTCCTGACTTGTAACTGGCTTCCATTTTATGTAACCTCACATGGCCTTTCCTCAGCGCACTAAGAGAGTGAGCGACCTCTCTGGTGTCTTTTCTTATAAAGACACTAATCTTGTCGAAACAGAGTCCGACCATTATGACCGCATTTCACCATAATTACTTAATTAGAGGCTCCATCTTCAAATATATTTAAGCTGGGAGTTAGAGCTTCAAAACCTTTTTTTTTTTTTTTTTTTTTGAGGAGGGAGGCACACATTTTCCATCCTAATGAGATCTTGTCTAATTTAGGCAGCAAATGAAGCACTGAGCCAACAAAGTTTAAGGTTTCTCCTAGCATTTAACACAAAGTAAAAACCAAACACCAGTATTTTGAGATCCACTTCACAACGAGAGAAAGGTAAAAGCAATTTACCTTACCTCACCCTACAACGAACTTGTTTGTTCCCAACAAGAGGATTAGAAAAAACACAACAGGGCCGGTCTGGGCAGCCGACCGCTCTAGGGGTCCACCCCAGTCCTCTGCGCGCGCCGGCTGCCCTGGCCCAGTCGCTGTGGACCCCACCCAGGCGGCGCGCGCAGAATCAGTTCTGAGCCTCCTCGCCTCCCGGCTCTCCCGCCTGTTGCGGGTGTTTATCCGGCTGCTGGGCGACCTTTCCCGGGAAGGAGGCTGTGCCTTCATTCGGTCACGCCCCGGTCTGGGGAGGCTCCTCCCTGGTGCGCAGAAACCGCAGGGGCGGGGAGGAGCCGGGCTCTGCCTGCGCCCGGGGCAGAGCGGGGCTGGCACCGCGCAAGGGGCCCTGTTTCCGGGGAGACTGATTTCGGCCTCCTGACCTCGGGACCCCTTGACTGTGGAGTGTCAGACGGAGGAGGACTTAGTGATCTTGTCCAACCCCCTCCCCGCTTTTCACAGGTTGGGGAGATGGGCGCCTGGAGAATGGAAATCCAGTTATCAAAATTGACTCCAGAAGAGAGAAACTAACAGAACAATAACAATGGAGGAAATTGAGAACATTATCAAAAAGCTATCATCCTGCCAAACTCCAGGCTCAGATTGTCTTACAGGTTAAAAAAAGTTAGTCCTTCATGAAAATGAAAGACCTTAAGCAACACGATGGATTCAGAAGCTCATGAAAAGAGGCCACCAACACTAACATCTTCAGAACAAGATATATCACCTCGTATTACAAATGTTGGTGAAATGAAGCATTACTTGTGTGGCTGCTGCGCAGCCTTCAACAACATCGCAATCACATATCCCATTCAGACGGTCCTCTTTCGACAACAGCTGTATGGCATCAAAACCCGGGATGCAATATTTTAGTTGAGAAGGGATGGATTTCGAAACTTGTATCCTGGAATCCTTCCCCCATTGATGCAGAAGACAGCTACACTTGCACTTACGTTCGGTCTCTATGAGGATTTATCCTGCCTTCTCCACAAGCATGTCAGTGCTCCAGAGTTTGCAACCTGTTGCATGGCGGCAGTGCTCGCAGGGACAACAGAAGCAATTTTCACTCCACCGGAAATAGTTCAGACGTTGATTCAAGACCACAAGCATCATGACAGATTTACCAACACTTATCAGGCCTTCAAGGCACTGAAATGTCATGGAATTGGAGAGTATTATCGAGGCTTGGTGCCCATTCTTTTCCAGAATGGACTCAGTAATGTCTTGTTTTGCGGGCTTTGAGGTCCCATTAAGGAGCATCTGCCTACAGAAACGACTCACAGTGCTCATTTGGTCAATAATTTTATCTGTGGAGGTCCACTGGGTGCCATGTTGGGATTCTTGTTTTTTTCCAATTAATGTAAAAACTCGCATACAGTCTCAGATTGGTGGGGAATTTCAGTCTTTCCCCAAGGTTTTCCAAAAAATCTGGCTGGAACGGGACAGAAAACTGATAAATCTTTTCAGAGGTGCCCATTTGAATTACCATCAGTCCCTTATCTCTTAGAGCATAATCAATGCAACTTATGAGTAAAGGTTATATGAAAAAAACCAACAGTTTAGTGCCATTTATCAACTGAATAGACCTTCTAAGAAGAATGCAGTTTGGCCTCTTTCTTAGTTGGCCAAATACAAGTTGGTGTCATAACTCCAGGCCACAGTGAGTTATGGGCAAAGCTGTTTTGCTTAAGCCTCAATAAAACAGAATAAAAGATTCCAATAGGAAAATATAAGGGATTTTTTTGTTTTGTTTTCTGTTTTTTTTTTTTTTTGATTTTTTTGTTTTTTTTTTTTATCATTACCTAAGAGCCTTAGGCTAATTGCCTGATAAATAGCTGTCCATCTGATGGCCTTTGACAGGGAACCTAATCCCCAAAACAGGATTATTTTTCTCAAACCAGTCTTGAAATCTTCTGCATTGAAACATAAGTGGCTGTGAACGGCCAGAGAGAAGGTCCTCGGGTGCCAGGGGCTCCTCAGGCTTCCTTTGTTACTCCATTGCTTGCGTCTCTGCCTTCAGGAGCAGCTGCAGAGCATAGTCTTCATTAAGCTCAAGCATATGACAATGGGGCAGAACAAAGAAGAAAAACAGCTTATTAGGTGTAGGCGTTTCATGATAAATTGCTTGTATTCGTTTTGAAACTAAGTACCTATTGTATAGTCATTATACTATTTCTGTTTAGATATGGTAGATCAAGGAGTTATGAAAGTTCCCATTTTGCTTTCTAGTTTTGAAAGTTTTCTGTTTGATTCTGACTGTGACCTTCAATGCTTCCAAAATATCCTTATGTTGATTTCACTTATTTCATTGCCAAAAGATGAAGGGACTTAAATGTTGTTATAGGTGTTCCATCTTGTTAAGAAATTTTCATACTAATTGTGTATAGATCAAATTCTGGTTAGCTTGGTTTCTTTGAATTATTGGGGCCATCTCAGCAAAGGTCTGTGGTTATTTTTCCTGTTGAGCAGGAGTTGGTCATACTCAAGCATCCTGTTCCCTTAAAACTCTCCTTTTAAAAGATAAACACTTCCATAACATTTTGTTTTGGAAGTCTGTTAATGCAATCCCACTTTTTTTTCCCCCTAGTTTCTAAATGTTTCAGAGTGGGAAAAAGGCTCAGGATAGTTTTCACAGTGTTGGCTGTCTTTTATTTCACCTTTGGAAATAGAGACTCCATTAGGGTTTTGACATTTTGGAAACCCAATTTTACCGTTGTGTTAGTAAAACAATAAGATAGTTTGAGAGAATATGCTCTAAATGAAGACATTTGAAGAGTTAGTTTGAATTCTAAAAGTAGGCAATAGCCAAATAGCATTCTCATCCCTTAATAGACGAAAACTTCTTTGTCAAAGGAATTGGAAAATGTGAAAATATTTTTTCCAGATAAAGCAAAATGATTCATATGGCACTTCCAATTGACTAATGAAATATAAGAGACAGACTGAAAAAGTGGATTATGAATCTTAAAACCCTTTCTGTAAAGATTTATTTCCAGCATCTGGCATGGTGGTAGGTTTCTTGTTAACCAGTTTTTCTTCTTTCTGAGTAACTGCATGTGAATATTTGCACATACTGACCAAAATAAAATCAGGGCCTCAACTTGGTAGTTTACTGAAAGTTTCTGGGCAAATAGCCCATAAAAGCTGTTTACATCTAAATGCAGTATGGCTGGTTAAATACAGTGAACATCCTTCTTTCAGCTGTAAAGGATGAAGCATATTAAGCATTAGCCAGGCAGTAATGAAGCTAAGTAACCATACAGCACCTCTGTCTGACGATATTGTGCTGGATATTGCAGTTTACATTCAAGGTGTAGAGGTAAGGATTAAAAAATAATAATTTGGCACCAAATAAAGATGAATAGCATCCTTTGACCTATTAAACAGAGTCAGGATTTGAAGGGAGTTGAATTTGAGAAATAAATGAATAAAGGCACCTTGGTGCCTGACCCACTAATTCATGTGCATGACTCTGAGCACTGACAAGCGTATCCAGCTACTCAGCACAGGGCAGGTGGGTTAGCCTGGGCTAATACCTTGGCCCTGGGAATAGACACCATTGGGCCTTTGGTTTGTTGGGCTTCCTTTTGTCTTTACACTCCATACAGATGGTAAAAATCTGAGTTCTAAAGCAGATTTCACTTTTGTGAAATACAAGCTAAGTGAGAATTCTAAGGAAAACTCTTTGGTTTCTGCTGTCTCAAATAAGTGATGTTTAAAAACAATTATTAATAAATACTTTTAATGGTTTTTAACTTAGTATTTTTTTTTATTTCTGTGTCACTCTTTACAGCTTTTGAAGACCAAACTGCAAATACATTACCAGGGATGGTTTTGTGTTGTCCTATAGACTTTTTAAATTTGACAAAAAAATTCAACAGAACTTGTAACCAACAGCTTTGTCTGAGCTTGAAGTCAAAATGTGTTGTTAGTAAGAGATTCTAACTGTTGTTTTTACCTTCAATGTGAACTAGTGTGGTAATAATTTTGAAAAGGCAGGCCGGCACGGTGGCTCATGCCTGTAATCCCAGCACTTTGGGAGGCCAAGGTGGGTGGATCACTTTAGGTCAGGAGTTCGAGACCAGCCTGGCCAACATGGTGAAACCCCATCTCTACTAAAAATACAAAAAATTAGCCAGGCATGGTGGCCAATGCCTGTGATCCCAGCTACTTGGGAGGCTGAGGCAGGAGAATCGCTCGAACCCGGGAGGCAGAGGTTGCAGTGAGCCAAGATCTCACCACTGCACTGCAGCCTAGGCTACAGAACAATACTCTGTCTCAAAAAAAGAAAAAAAAATTAAAAGGGCAAACATGATTGAATATCTGAATAGCTTTAAAAGTGGCCTTTCTGTTACGTATGTGGCACAAATGGCTCATGAGTGCAGGACATTTATGGTCTTGTGTCCTATACTTCATGTGTGATGCCACCAGAAATGTTATGAATTCTGTATTTAACACACTGAGAGTGATATGAGCCTTCATGACTGCACCACAGAGTAAACACAACCTTTATATGGTGGCGAATATGTGTGTCTTTCTTGTTTCATTTGTGGTTGGGGACAAAATCAATGTTTTTGTCTGCATAGTCGATATTCATCTTAACATGGTTGCCAGTATAATCACCGGCTATATTGTGAACTGTGCAATAAAACAGAATCGTGTGTATATATAATTACCTTTGGATAACTGAAATTCCCAAGCTCTGTTACAATGTAATACTCAGTATAAGGTTGTGCAAACATGTAAGGGGATAATGGTGGTCGATGGGATATATGAAATGGGATCTAGAGGGCTTTGAGTGAAGCCAATCATGCTGAACTAACACTGGTTCAGTGTAGATGAAGTAGAGTGAGGGGTATGCAGTCATAAAATGAAGGGTAGACAGGAGATTATATTTGAAGAAAGGGTAAGCACTCAGACTTGGTTTCTTTTAAATTAAAATATTTCTTTTCTCATGTGCAAATGCATATCAAAGACTTGATCAGGCATTCTCTTGAAATTTGAGGATTTTTAGTTTTTAATGCTGTCTTTGCTTAATATTAAATATATGTTGCCTAATGGCTCCCAAATTGTGTAGGAGTCTCTACATGTTTCCTCTTAAAGGTTCATCATTAAAAGTGGTTAAGTGCACAATGCTATTTTTGTTTGATAGTTTGACTTTTATGACCATATGAGTTTAAATGAAATCTGTTAAATGTTTCTGAATTAACATTTTTTAAAAATAATTAGGAACAAAATTTGTTTTTTAAGCCTCTCCCCTCAAAAGAAAAAAAATACCCAAACTTTTTAAAAGTCACCTGTGAAAAATAAATGTAATTAATTTAACACTGCACACTTATTAATTGCTTCAATCTGATGACAATTACTGAAAGACTGTCAACATTATTGTTTCATCTATGGAAATCATATTCTCCTCTGGTCAACTTTGGATGCACCTAATGATATGGGGAATATATTATCTGAAAAATAGAGCCCACATCTGAACCTACAAATACATGACTTAATTTGAAAATTTTTAAATTTTCCACGGGGGTCACATCAGGAGATTGTAGTAATTTACTATCTCAAGAATCTTATTAAGGCAATTCAAACATTGTTTAGTTACAAATCAAAAATAATGAGAGGACATAATTGAAGAACTTTTATCATTCATCTCACTGTGTCAGAAAGATTTCCCAGAAAAATAAGTGAAGCAGATACAATTTATTTCTCATATTTTTCAACATAAGGGCATGTAAACAACATATGTATTTAGATAATTTCAAATTCAAACAACAATAAGATACTACTACAAACCTGTTAGAATGGCTAAAATCCAAAACACTGACAACACCAAATGCTAGTGAGGATGTGGAGCAACAGGAACTCTCTTATATTGTTGGTGGAAATGCAGAATGTATAGTCACTTTAAAAGAGAGGTTGGCATTTTCTTACAAAACTTAACATGCTCTTACCATGTGATCCAGCAATCACACTCTTGAAACTTCTGTCAACACAAAAACCTGCACACAAATGTTTATAATAGCTTTATTTAGAGTTACCAAAACTTAGAAGCAACCAAGATATCCTTCAGTAGGTAAATGGACAAATAAATTGTAGTACATCCAGACAATGGAATATTATAGCACTAAAAGGAGATAAACTATGATACTGCAAGAAGAAATGAAGGAAACTTAAAAGCCAATCTGAAAAGGCTACCTACTGCATAATTTCAACTACATGACATTCTTAAAAAGGTAAAACCATGAAGGCAGTAAAAAAAAAATCAATGATTTACAGGGATTTGCAGGATAAGGAGGGATGCATAGATGGAGCACAGAGGATTTTCAGGGCAGTGAAACTGTTTTACATGATACTAATGTGGAGCATATATGTCATTATACATTTGTCAAGACCCAAAGAATGTACAACACAAAGAAGGATCCATCAGGTAAACTATGGACTTTTGGGTGATAATGATGTGTCAGGGTTGGTTAATTTTTTGTAACAAATATCCGTACTGGTGCAAGACGTCAAATGGGAAAGCTGTCTCTGTGGGTTGTGGAGCAGGGAAGATAGGAAGGGAGATGTGGAAACTCTGTACTAACTTTCTGTTCACTTTTGATCTGAACTTAAAACTACTCTAAATGTAAACTCAATTAAAAAAAATAAGGTCCGGAAAAGGAACTCTTTTTTTTTGTCTTCAATCACAACTTTTTTAGATGCACACGCCATTCAAGTGTATGCATGACTAAAGGGATCAAAGCAAAACTTCGATAATGAATTATAATTTTCACATATCGTTTGATCAGTTGGCACAACTGTGTGTACTGTGCCTGTCTCTCTTTATTATAATTATACTTTAGGACAGCGGTGCCCAGCCTTTTGGACTGGGACTGATTTCATGGAAGACAGTTTTTCCACGAATGGGAATGAAAGGGATAGTTTTGGAATGAAACTGTTCCGCTTCAGATCATCGGGCATTAGTTAGATTCTCACAAGAAGTGTGCCACCTAGATCCTTCACACGGGCAGTTCACAATAGAGTTTTCATTCCTATTGTGATCGCTGCTGCTGATCTGACAGAAGGTGGAGCTCAGGCAGTAATACTGGCTCACTGGCCACTCATCTTCTGGTATGCATCTGAGTTCCTAACAAGCTAGGGACCAGTACTGGTGGTCCATGGCTCAGGGATTGGGGATGCCTGCTTTAAGAAGTGATGTTAGAGGTTGAATTTTTATCAGAGAAGTGGGAATGCCTTAATCTCCTTTTCCTTTCTCTTTAATTTTTTGTTCCTTTCTTCTTTATTTTCCCCTTTTCAACTCATATTCAAATGATTTAAAGCAGTATGTTTATAATTTTTGTTTTTATTTTACATCAAACTGCTGCATTCTATCTAGTGTTTCAAACTTGCATTAGATCAACACAGAATAATAACTTTGGTCTTCATGGACCTCTTTGAGTCCATGGCCAGGTATTATGGGATTGATTAAACTTTTGTAACTTATATTTTTGTTTAAGTGAATATCTACTTTTTCTAAATAGAGGGTCCATATCTTTCATTAATTTTTCAAAGGGACCTAGGACACAAAATTGATTCAGAAATACATGCTGTTGTTCTTTCCTGTGATTTCATTATATTTGCTTTGATAATTATATTTTTATTCAAAGTTTGATACATTATATATGTTGATATAAGAAACTCTAGTTATAATTTGCCTTTCTCAAGTCAAATTGAATTGCAATAAAGAGTGGTTAAGTTCTAGTTATCTGAAGTGACTCCTAACTCTCACTACTGGTGATCTTATCTTCATGGAGAGTAATAATGTTACAAGCAAGAAATTATCAGGTTGGTTCCTAATACATTAGAAAACGTCATCTTTAATTGGTACAAATTTCTAATCTATGAATTTAATTCTATAGAATTATCAGTATCAGATTATCAACAAATAACCTATATTTTAGGAAATGAATTATATTTTAATTCAAATACCTCTGCTTTTAGTATCCACTCAGTTTTATTGTTATTTTATTATATGTATTTCCCTGTAATATATGCCACCTTGTATCCGAATATTTGGATTGCTTTTTAGAGTGTATTTATATAATTTTTACAACATAGTCATTTCAACAATTTTCTTGACTTTAAAAGATTCTAGGAATGCTCAAAATTTAGGTTCAAAAATTATTAGTGACCTGCCAATGTAAGAAAAATGGTACTTCTTTACTTATAATGTTTGTAGTTTTGAAGGTAAAATGTTTGATAGTTCTGAAACCCATTTAGAAAAAAGCATTTTAATAATTGAAAAATTTATAAATTACTCTCTGTAACAGTGCTATGTCTAGATCTCTTTGTGTTCATTTAACAAAAAAGAATGGTGTGTCATAAAAAGTTTCATTAAATGCCTCTTGTCAGCCAGATTCCTAAATGTACTAAGACAATAATCTCAATAGAAATTACTGACAGGACAGTCTGAATATTAGGGCTGCTTTGTATTCTGCTAATTTCAAAAGATATGTAGCTCAAGTGCAAGCATTCTATTGTATTCCAAATGAAAGTGGCCAGGATCCTACGGGGACATTTAATAAGCTCAAAAAAGCCTATATTATAACTCATTACAACCATAAAAATGGAAAAGAATATTTCTACTACTGTTTGCCTACTGTTTTCATTCTGCAATTCTCCAACTACCCGAGACTATTAAAAATGAAGAAAAAAATTTCTGTGCATTCTGAACCTCTGAAAATTAAAATTATATCTAAGGTTTTACATTCTATTAAGCATCTTACCTTAGTTCTTAATTAATTTATGAGGAGGCCATTTCAGCTATTTTGGTAGAAGCTTGAAAAATTGATTTGTGATACTCCATTTTGTCTATTTCATTTGCTGGTTGTATTGTTATATGCAGATCAGTTGACTGTGCCTGCCTCTAGAATAAAAGTTTCAAGTTGTATTTATGTAGCAAGTTGGCACACTTTATACTATTTCAACAGTGGTGGATAAACTTAATAGTATTTCATAATCATTTTCAAATTATTTACTGAGATAAAATAAAATAAAAATTAAAAATTAGCATGATTGTGTAAAATCATTTTGATATAATGTATTCTACCTCAAAAAAGTTACATTTTTAAAAATAAATACAAGATGTAGAGAATCTGTACAACTTTATTTTCATAATTTCTATTTAAGTACTTTTTACATGATCTATAAATATTTTTAAACTCTGTTGTATTATTGGACAAAAATAAAATCTGAGGAGACAAGTACATTAGTATAATAATATGATGATTAAATCCTTATCTTTAAAATAAAATTCAAGGCCATTGTAGATCATGGAAGACATCCAATAAGTTATAAATAGCTATGAAACAGAGTATTTGCTCTCAGAAACAAAATGTAGTAACATCGAGCATAAATAAAATATTAAAATTAAAAATATTAAAGAGTTAGAAAGATTGCACCATATACAATTAATTAACAAATTAAAATTTCAGGCAATAATTCTCTGAGAATGGCAATAACTCAAGGAACTAAATAGTTCTGGAATGACTTCAGGGAAAGTGGTTGGACTTCAGTTAGGCCTTGAAAGATTTATAGGTTTGGACGATGAAGTTGAATGGTGGTGACAAACAAATGTTATTAAAAGAGAAGTGCAAAGTCAAAATTGTGCACAATATTTTGAAATTTTTTTAAAAAATTGATTAAATCAGAGTTTGAGGCTACAAGTAGTAGAGGCCACAATTTAAAAGATACAGTGAGATAAAATAACAATGCTTTAAATAATTAACTAGTTTACACATGACATTAAAAGCAATAATTTAATTCAAATAATTAAAATTTAATTATTATAAATAATAATTTAATTCAAATAATTAAAATTTTTTGAATAAGTGAGTGGCATGATGAAAAAATATTCTTTCAGACAATTTAAAAAGAATCAGTTTCATAGGAAGAACTGAGCATTGTAACAGTCATATATTATTTATCTGTATTATGTATCCTGTTGATTGTTATTCTCTAGATATGTGGTAAAGCAATTTATTTCAAATATCATTTACTATCCCAGATGTTGGTAGTTTTTGTATACTGTGAGTTTGGCATGAGAATATGCAACGAATAGGCAAAAATTCAGCACAAATATGACAGGGTTACTTAATATCACAATCTTTACTCCATCTTTTTCCAGATATTTTAAAAACAACTGCAAAAGATGAATTTGAATTGAAATTCTCAGGCGGTGTGGGGATGGAGCAAAATTGGCTGGAGGACTGTGGAGGCAATTCAAATGAGATAAACGAATGTGTTCATTGGATCCATGGTAGGATTGAGATGGAGAAGATAGACTTGAAATACATTGTAGAGACAAAGAGAACAGAAGTCTGGATTAAATGGATGTGGCAAAAAGGGAGAGGGATGAGATAGAGTGAACTCAAGTATTCTAGCTTGAATAACAGACTGAATGATCATGCCACCAAATGAAAGGTTAATTATTGAAGTTGAGATTAATTTTAGGAGAAATGATAAGTACTTTTTCAGTATGCTGTGCTTAGAGAAAATTGTGGCGTGAAGAAAACTCTGGGAACCCTCAACAGTTAAGAGATAATTATTGGAAGAAGCTATGAGGAAGACTGAACAGGAGCAATTATAGAAAGTTATGAGGAGAACCAGGAGAGCACAGATCTCATGTGAGTTAAAAGAGGAGTGTTTCACTGAGAAACCAGTGATGAATGATGTTGAATGTGGTAGAGATGCCCCATAATATAATGTCTGCAAAATAATGAAGCATTCTAGTGAAGTATTAATTTAATGAGGCCCTTAGGTACAGTTTATAGGAAATTGGTGAATGTTTTTCTTTGAGGAAAAAAAAAATCCTTGATTTATATTCATTACAATGCACTGCAAGGATAGGATGCTCTATTTATTGTAATAAATTGTCTCTAGTGCACATTGAACTTCCCAGTTAATTAAATAACACCATAATTCATTTCTATTTATGTTTTAGTGTTTTCCCTGGTGGAATCTAAAACATCCTTAATATCTTGGATCAGAATGTATAGTGCATTTTTGGAGCTACATTAACTCTTTCCTCTTCAATCAATGCATCAAAGGCAATAATACACATGGTAAAGCCTACAGATGGAGGCAAATGGGGCTCATCGATCTGTATGATCAAGGACAGTTTTACATTAATTGTAAAAATGACCTCCTAAGATAGTCAGTTCTCTTAATGTGTAAATTACTTCCTGCGAGAATTGAATCATTTTTGAGTCAACAGTAATGTTTGCAGGTCATGATTAGTTATTGACATAGGCCAAGTTTACATGATATCCACAAAAGAAATGTTAAAAAGAGAGAATAGTGGGACTTTAATTCATACAGACATATTAGCATGTATAAATTTACACACACACATGTACACACACACACACACACAGACATAATTAGAATGTAAGATAACAAGGTTCCAAATTTCCTGTTCTCTTCTAAGTTTCTTTGTTCATTACCTGATTGAATAGTAGATAACAAATTGATTTAACAAACATACATTGATTGTGTACTATGATCCTACACTATTCTGTACTCTGGGGATACAGCAGGAAACATAGCTTATATTTCCCCTCATCATAAGGCTTATAATTAGTAGGCATTAAAAATAAATAGAATAAGTAAATAGTAATATTAGTAAGTGGCATGAAGGACCTAAAATAGAGGAATTTAACAGAAAGTAATGGGTTGATAGTGTTTAATGTAAGTTGGATAATATATTTTAATTGCCCATTCATCATCCACCCTGTTACTCCACCTCCACATAACCCCAGTAATTATGTGTCTAACCTCCTGACCTCTTGCAAACACTGGTCACAGGGGAAGATTATTCCTTTTAGAGCTCCAGCACACAGACAGCATGTAGTTGAGTACTAGGTTAATACACCAAGGTGTCTGAATGAAAAGTCTGTACTGTTAACCAGTATTTTGTTTCTAACAGGCCAGACATCTATCAATAACAATAAATGAAAGAACTCCTCCTTAACTTGAATATTTTGAAATGTAAAAAAAAAGAAACTATGTGTTTAAAGCTAATAATAACTTTGAAAACTTATAAAGTGATATTAATTTTCATTAAGGACATATGACACTTATTTTTCTGTATTTTTCATATGGTATGTTGATACATTTTTGTCCCTTTATAGTTCTGTAGTGGAGATCATTTCCTTGTATTAGGCCTGCATTAATATTTTAAAATAATATTATCTCTATATTGCTTTACATATTTTATTAAAATTATCTATAATTTGTGACACATAGAAACAGGCCACAGTTTATTAAAATTTATTCTACTAACAATGCTACGTATTGTTAGAGCTTCTACCCAGTAAAAAGTCTAAAACTAATAATAATTGGTGAACAACCCATTGTTTTTCACTTTTATGATAATATAGCTTTCCACAGATTCTATCTTTTGTTCATGTGTATTCTCTGCAATCCCTGTAGCAGCAGAAGAGTTTATGCTACTTGGTGAAAAAGTAACTTCCAGTTTCAGTTAGTTGAATAGAAATATGAACTCTGTCGCACTTTCTCTGTAATACTGCTCAATATTCCCTCTGATAACAGCAAGGTATGGGTTTGCTGTTTACTCATTTCTAATATGCAGAGTACACTAAGG
This sequence comes from Homo sapiens, assembly GCF_000001405.40. Classification (NCBI taxonomy): domain Eukaryota; kingdom Metazoa; phylum Chordata; class Mammalia; order Primates; family Hominidae; genus Homo; species Homo sapiens. The sequence continues at coordinate 65,800,400 of NC_000006.12, forward strand.
TCTAGAAGAAAGAAGAGGTTACTGAGAATGAAGGAGTTGTGGACATCTATACACTTTAACAATGAAAGTACCTCTCTTCTTTAAAGGATTTCAAATTTATGCCATTAAACCTGTCTGTAAAACTAGTTTACATATGTGATTTTGTATGTGGTCAAGTTAGCATTAGCTCTATCAAACTCCCCCATTTTCTGTCTTCTGACAACAGGCTCTTGTTTTAAGACCATGGGAGTAAGCATAAATGTCAGTGGAACTATTCACTGTTTCTTGGATTCACTTCCATTACTGGCTGCAATTCTTTACTCCTTCTGGATTCATACTCTTTGCTATGTGATACTTTAGTTCCTTTACAAGAAGGAACTTAAAGAAGTGCAGTATATTTACTATCATTTCAGTTAACTTTGGATTTAGTCATGTGAATTGCTTTGATGAATAAAATGAAGTAGAATAGACAGTGTGCTAGATAGAATCCTAGACCCAAAGAAGCCTTGCATGTTTCTTCTTGCCATCTTGTGACTCTGCCATCACCATGAGAAGATCATGTCTAAGCTAGAAGGAGGATGACAGATGTGTGGAGCAGAGCTGAGCTGACTAGACCAGATGAGCTATCCTTTGGACTTGTGAGCTTAATAAATGCTGGTGTATTGAGATGTTATGGTTGGTTCTTTATGCAGCATTATTTGGTTTACAGTTAAGTGATACACATCCCATATACCTAGTCTCGATTATAAGTTAAATATGAACAATGCAACAGAAGTAGGCTAATCTGAGTCCTTCCCTAGCATTTTATATACCAAAACGTAGAAAAATAATCCTTCATCATCTAGGATCACTATGGTATATGGATCTTGAATATTTTTATGGACCCTGTAATAAAGAGAAAAGAACCCACAGTAGTGGAAAATGATGTTGACCAAAAGGGATAGGCAGAGTTAGAGACAGAAAAAGAGAGATTTCCAACATTTGTGTCCCTGGAGTCTGTTATTCTTAATACCATTTCCATTCTCTTTTTCAGTGGTGAAAAAGCCTGAGCAATATTGCAAGACACACACCACAAAATGTGAAACTTCTTGGGTTAAGGCCCTGAGAGTTGCCAGATCCTGAGCTAGAAAGATAAGTTTCCTCTGTCTTTCCTCTGCAAGAGATTCAAACCAATGACTGCTCGGTGCTTTAATCTTTTCCTCTCTTATTTACACTATGTTAATGATGTTTTATTTTTAAGTCTTTAGAGCATCTAGAATTATATTATTTATATATAATATGGAACTCAAATTTTATTTAGTCCATGTGTGTAGACAATCATCCTAATATAGTTTGTTAAACAGAATGTTCTATATCTTCAAAATGACAAACTTGTAATATATTAAATATCATATATGCTCAGGTTGGTTTTGTTTTTCAATTGTCTGTTTTATCTTTGCCCTGCCTTCAGCTGATACCAATTGTTTTAAGTACTGTATTTTTGTACTTGATAGACATGTTTATACATATTTATACAAATATTTGTTATGATCATTTCTCCACCATTCTTCTTTTTCACTTTTAAAAATATTCTTAATAATTTCTCTTGGCTAAATTTCAGAGTCAGCTTGACAAGTTATTTACAAGGTTTTCTGTGTTGAATTTATAAACTACTATGGTGACAATAGATGCTTTTATAATATTAAATCTCCACATCCAGGAATATATTCTCGCCATTCCTTCAGTTTATATTTTATTTTCTTTTGTAGCCTCATAGATTTATTCATGTCATTCTTACACATCATTTCTTAAAAAGAATTACATTTGGAAAACTTAGTAGAAAAATGGTGATTGAATTTTGTCTGCTACCTTTTGTGAGCGAAGCAATGTACAAGAATACAACAGGCTTCAACTTAACGAGGCCATTTGAAAGCAAAAAAAGAGAGAGGGAATTATATCACTTTTCTAATAAAGGTTATTTTGCCTCTGGTCAATGCTTCTAGATAGCTGACAAGTGGGGAGACTAGAAATAGTGATATTTGGGAAAGCCAGAGGGATATGGGGAAACCTAGTTCTTCCAGACTTATTCTTAAGCTATTCCCTTGTGAATTATTCTTCCAATAAATAAAATCCACTTGGAAGTATCCTGGGGGACATAAAGCCAATTAATACTGTTTTTCCAAGGGAGTATGTTGTTTCATGTTAGTCTATGGTAGAAACCAAGACAGAAACTGTTGATTAGAAAGATGTGTGGTTGATGGGAAAGAAGAAAATCACAAGTTTAGCATCCAGACTCAAGCATTGCTGTCTCAGCGAGAAGTCTAATACTGAATGTTTGGCAGTGGAGCCCTCCAGATTGAAAATGACATATGGTCATTTAAGTGTTAAGGGACAGGTATTGAGAAACCTCAATTCCGGCCAAAATGAGTCCAATATTTCTCAATACATAACACATCACCTTTGTGCTTAAAACTGGTTCATGGGAACATAGATATCTATATGATATTACTTTCAAAATAAGAATCTGTTGTCCAGTTTAGTGTCATATGGACAGTACCTAAAATAACACTCAAGCTAGGAAAACACAGCTAAAAGAAACTTTTCAGCCTATAGCTCTCTCCACCTCCAGGAACATGATTAAAAAATGGATGCACTATCACATCTCTGACTGACAGTGTATGGAATATTTTTTCTGCCTATTATATTGCTTCCTATTTCCCTATTTTTTAATAAAAATTTTATGATGATTATGATTGCATTTTGTTCTGTGGTGGAAATTTTTGTCATTTGTTAAATAGTTTGCCATGTCAAGAGAAGACAAAAATTATGGGTCCAAAGATAGAATGCTGGGGAAAAGTTTTACTGTTAAGTAGAAAACCCAGGTTAGGATATATGAGATGAGGGTAAAGAATGGAAACAGAGTGTGTTCTTTAAAAGCAGAAACAAAAAAACAGTCTCTATCCCATGTTTATAAAACAAAGTCTCAGAGTGATGCTGATTGGCTGATAATATTTGGACAAAATGCTGAACATCTGGATAAGTTCTTGTTTGCAATTTTTCCAAGAAATGGTCTTTACAGTTCACATGAAATGACCAATACTGGTTTATGAAACTTTTGTCATTTTAGAAAAAGTAAAGTTTGATGTAAGAATAGACATTATAGGTAAATGAAATAGAATAGTGAGTTCAAAAATAGACATATACAGTATAGTCATTTGATTTTTGACAATGTTGTCCAAGTAAATTAATGGGAAAAGAGTAGCTTTTCTTTTTTTTTTTTATTATACTTTAAGTTTTAGGGTACATGTGCACAATGTGCAGGTTAGTTACATATGTATACATGTGCCATGTTGGTGTGCTGCACCCCGTAACTCGTCCTTTAACATTAGGCATATCTCCTAATGCTATCCCTCCCCTCTCCCCGCACCTCACAACAAGCCCCGGTGTGTGATGTTCCCCTTCCTGTGACCATGTGTTCTCATTGTTTAATTCCCACTTATGATTGAGAACATGCGGTGTATGGTTTTTTGTCCTTGTGATAGTTTGCTGAGAATGATGGTTTCCAGCTTCATCCATGTCCCTACAAAGGACATGAACTCATCATTTTTTGTGGCTGCATAATATTCCATGGTGTATATGTGCCACATTTTCTTAATCCAGTCTATCATTGTTGGACATTTGGGTTGGTTCCAAGTCTTTGCTATTGATATCATCTTCATTACAGTAACTTTATTATGTTTTGAAATCAGGTAGTGTAAGTAGTCTGTTTTGCCATTCTTATTAAAAATAATCTTGGTTCTCTATTGCTTTTGTATTGTTGCGTAAATTTAAGAATCAAATTGCCTATTGTTACAAAAATTATGTGTCAAGGTTGATTGTAATGTTTTTGGTGTATATTTCACTGTGGGGAGAATAAACATCCTAATAATATTAAAAAAAAGAAAAAATAAAGTTTGTACTTTTATTTGTAGATTAGGCAGCTGTGTTCAGATTAATTAGACGTATCACAAAGTGACACACCTAAGTTTGATTAAACAGGAGGTTCTTTATTCGCAAGTTCTCTACTCATAGCTGTATACAGTAGTTAAGCATGAGCATGTCCCTTGGGAAAGGAAGACTACTATTTGCAGTTTTATGTGGGGGTTTTATGTGGGGCTATTTTATGTGAGATGCCTGGATATATTTTGGAAATATATAAAAACTCTATGGAATTCAATTCCAAAGGGACAACCAGAGAGCTACTATATTATTATTATAATTATTGTTTGTTTGTTTGCTTGCTTATTTCTTATTTGTTTTTATAGGTTTTACCTCTAGGCTTCATCTCCACCTTTCTTGCAGTAATAGCACCTGTCTTCCTGAGCATGGCAGGGGATAGGTAATCTAGACTGGTATAATTATATTTTTCAAATTATCTGAGCAAGATGATTGGGCTGAGAATAGCATGTATGTCAATAACTCTCCGAGATTTTATATAGTGAAATCACTTGTTTATTCACTAAACAGTTTTTAGTACCCACTATGTTACAGATAATGTTCTTGGTACACTAGGAACATAGCAGTCACTAATAAAGATAAAGAAAATTGTTATCCTCAGGGAGTTCATATTTTTGTGAGAAGATGCAGATAAAAATTAAAATATGTATATATATGTTTGTGTGTGCATGCACACACACGTGTATATATATGGAGAGAGAGAAGTGTTATGAAAAAAATAATCAGGAAACAAGGTAGGAGATTCTGAAGAGAAACAGAAAATTTCAAATTTAAAGGAAGTGTGTGCCATACTAAGAATGTGAAATATGAATGAAACCTTGAAGAGAAGGACAAGAAACATTTTGGATATTTGAATCTGGATGAAATAAACCTCTTTAGTATTCAATGCAAATAACTGTGATGTCTGATATTTTACCAAATTTGCAAGCTGACGAGTTGCCTGCCACAGTTTTGTGAATGCTGCTATGATATACAAGACTCCTGGATTAGAGACAAAGGGCCATTTGTTACTCAGAGCAATAGCAGTGGTCACAGAGTCATCATTTTTGCATGTTTTCTCAAAGTCCTAATTCCCCTATGGTGATAGGAAGAATACCAGATTATATCTGTAAACAAGTAGGTGGCATTACAGAACAGGAACTCCAAGTTTAATAATAACAAATATTTTATGATGGTCCTAAGCATGCCTTATCCTTGTTCTAGAGGGAGACACTATCTCCATTTTCCAAGGCTGTTCACTATACAAACATTCTAGAAATAAGTGTTTAGAACCAAGGGTCATCAGTGCTTCACTCTCTAACACATGCATAAAAAGGTTAGATCTATTCCTGACTTTACATTATTTTAAGATACAAAACTACACAATCTTCTTTGCTTAAACTAGCTGAAGCAGTTTGACTTACATTTCAAATGATTTAGCCTTCATCTATCTATCTATCTATCTATCTATCTATCTATCTATCTATACGTCTTTCTATCTATCTATATCTATCTAGCTAGCTAGCTATACATGTTTACATATGTTTGTGAATGCTTAAACTCTTTTTTAAAGTATAGCCTGTGATGACCCATGATTTCTTTATGAAGTATCAATGGACATCTTCCCATCACTCTAAAAATATCCAATTGTGTTATTAAGTGAATCGTCACTAGTGTGTATTAAATATTCGCTGATCCATATTCTTTGCCAACCAGCCTAACATCAGGCTTTTTAGGAAAGTCTTGGTATCTATTCAATGTATGCCTTACTTACTGCTTTTATCATATTTTAGGTGACTCAGTCCTGTAGAACTAGCAATTTCAAATTATAGTCAATTTTCTTTAGACATATAAAATTAAAATTGATCACATAATTTTAGCACATAGTAGCTCTCATGCATTTTCCAAAGGGCAATATTAAAAATATATATTTTAAAAATTATTAACGTATTTTAAATGAGACGTCCGTGAGTAATTAAAATGCCAACTTGGAAGAGTGGAGACAAAGGTTCTTCAAGGCCAGTTATATCCTTGTCTTCATAAAAAAGATTTATGGACATCACTACTTGGGTATATGCTAGTGTCATATGTTACATTATCTAAGTCAAATTCCAGGGTTAAAATCCCAGCTGTACAGCTTACTAGTCTTATAACTTCAGATAGTTGATTTAACTTCTCTGTTCCTCCATTTCCTCATCTATGAAAAAGGAATAATGATATTACCTACCTCCAATGGTTACTATAACAAATACATAAGCTTTTTCCCCCTGTAATTTAGAATGGAGCTTACCACATAGAAATGATGCAATAACTTTGTGTTGTAAATCTTGTATTTTATCTCATTCCTTTGTGACCATATACATACATCTATGAAATGGCCACAATTATATTGCCACTTATGGATGTTGAAGTCTTTTTCTTGAAACAGTTAAGTATCCCGTATGGAAATTGAACACACCATTCACTTTATTTGAATCTGGCTAAACCCAGATTAGCTAAATTGGCCTGGATACCAAGTTGGCTGTAGTGGGCAAGTCATAAAGCAAGGGCATCCATTTGGATACTGCAGTCTCATGAATTACTGACTTCAAAGTAAACACATGAATGCTGCTCTGTGTCATTGTTTTACATCAGGCATTTCTATGTTAAATTATTATTATTCTAGAGAGTTCTTTTCTGTATGGAACAATTTTATTTATGTTGCAAATATAATAGGCCTATAGTGGGCAGGGTAATGTAGAACTGTACCGAGGGCATAATGCTGCGATTCTTGTGGCTTGTTAAGATCAGTGGGTGCACACAGAGACAATAGCACTAAGAAAATGATGAGATGATTATTACGTGTTTTAAACCACAGTTAATTACACAAATTACACCTATTAAGTGAAAGAGAATTAACCATTCGCTTTGTATGCACCTATTTGTAGCAATAGGTAGCTTGGTAAATATAGCAAAACAAGGAATTAAAAAAATACCTATTGTCTCAAAAATATCACAAGAACCAGACAATATGGTTTGGTCCCTATCACTATTAGGTATATTCATATTCACTCCTTTAGTTCATTGTAAGAATGAGAAAACAGTGGGTATCAATAAAATAGCACAAACTAAAAGTTAGTTAATATAGCAAAATGTAAAACACACATAGTCTCTTTCACATTATTCAAAGTTCTGGAACTTAATAATAATATAATCATTTTACCACACTTACAAGTACTGTTAAAACCTGTCTGGAACAGGGTTCTGGATTTTATAACCTGTGTAATAGCTAGGAGTAAGGAGAGACATTGCAAAAATAACCGAAAGATTTGAAGTTTGAGTAAGAATAAATAAGGAGGTAAGTAAGAACAATTTTGACTTTTTTAGCCAGGAGAAGAAAAGAGGGGTTAATAAAATATTTCATTTGTGGGAAACTAATGCAGTATTTCCCATGCATGTTTGCTGTACTTAATAGACCATGACAGCCTTAAGATTGTAGGCTGTCTACTATTTTATGACAATTTTGATGAGTATCTTTTTTTCTCCCCTAGAATGAGTATCTGGAAAACTTAATATATCACATATGTCCAAGGTAAGTGACAGATATTCTGCCATCACCATTAAAATTTCAAATGTTTCCTATGTCGTAGAAATCAGCAAACTTTGTCTCAAAGCTTCCATGAATATAAGGCACTGGGCTCAAGAAAGCTGGGAATTTAAGATAGGTAAATAATGCCATGGAGGCCAAAGCTCAGGATTTTAAAGATGATGGTTATCAACTTGCATTAGCCAATTTGCCCATATTTAAAACCTAAATTTACCTGTATCCTGGATGTGATAACATTTGCTGTTCTCCCAAGTGGCTTAAAACCTTTTCCCCTTTGTGTTGAGCAGGGCTCTGTGCCTTTCCCACAGCTATGTCACTCCCCTCTTTCAAGCTTCCACCATTGAGGAAAGAATCATTTCTTCATAGCTTCAAATAGATATTGTTGTAATTCTACTCAAAATTATCTAAAGTCTTCTTATTTCAGTGAACACAAAGGTAAAAATTTTAAATGGCCTGTAAGGACCTATATAATCAGGCTCCATTCCCTATATGAGCTGCTCATCATTTAGTCACCCCATTGCTCCTGCTGTCTAGCCAGAGGACTTCTCACTATTCATAAAACAGGGTGAACAGTTCCAAGCTCACCTTTGCACATGCATTCTCAATGAGGACAATTCTCATCCCTCTCACGTCGACACAACTCATTACTTTTCTTCTTTCAGCTCCTGCTCAATGTCTCCTAAGAATGAGACCTTCGAAGACCACCCTACAGAAAATAGTAAGCCACCCCCTGCATACGCTATACCCTTACATGCTATACAATTATCTAGCAGACTTATCACCATTTGAGTAACTATATATTTATTTCCTTTCTTTTTACCTCTGCCACACATAAATTGCATGAAGATAATTTTTGTATGTTTTGTTTACCCCTGTATGCCCAGTACTTAAAACTATGCTAGGCTAGGCATAGAGTAATTCTTCAATATTTATTTATTTATATTTGGTTTGTTTCTTTGTTTGAAATAAGACCTTGCTCTGTCATCTGAGCTGGTGTGCGGCAGCACAATCATAGCTCTACTGCAGCTGTGAACTCCTGGATTCAAGTGATCCTCCCACCTCAGCCTCCTGAGTAGCTAGGACTATAGGCATGTGCCACCACACTCGGCTGATTTTTAATTTTTTCTGCATAGATGAGTCTCACTATGTTGCTGAGGCTGGTCTCAAACTATTGACTCAAATGATCTTCCTGCCTCAGCCTCTCAAAGTGTTGGGATTATAGGCGTAAGCCACCACACCCAGCCTTGTCTGTTGAATAAATGAAAAATTGGAATAACAAATGAATGGTATTATCACCACTTACGTATTTGTCCGATTTTCCTTATTAAAATTCAACTCCAAGAGGGCAATTTCTTTTTTAGGTATTTTAACTAAACAAGCAGTGACTAATTTGTGTCTGTTAACTTTTGAATTCTTTTTGGTTTTGTTTTGTTTTGTTTTTTTGAGATGGAGTCTCACTCTGTAACCTAGCTGGAGTGCAGTGGCGTGATCTTGTCTCACTGCAATCTCTGCCACCTGGGTTCAAGCGATTCTCCTGCCTCAGCCTCCCGAGTAGCTGGGATTACAGGCACCTATCACCGTGCCTGGCTAATTTTTGTAGTTTTTAGTAGAGACGGGGTTTCTCTATCTTGGCCAGGCTGGTATTGAACTTCTGACCTCGTGATCCACCCGCCTCGGCCTTCTAAAGTGCTGGAATTACAGGGGTGAGCCACTGCGCCCGGCTGACATTTGAATTCTTGACAATAAAGGGCAAAAATTAAGGAATACAATGAAAATATAAATGGTTTGATTGCATTTCAAGATAGTTCAGATAAGAATAGCTCTAGTCTTAATAAATAGACTCAAGAGCACAATGATAAGAATGTGGAGGGTCAATATATCATAGTATAATCACTCAGTAATTAACAAGTACTTATTGAATGCTATGTTATGATAGACACTGTGACATACTCTAAGGATATAATGGGAAGGAAGACATTATCTGCATTCTCAAAGGGCTTGCAGTAAGCCGAGGATACAGAAAAGTAATCAGGTGGCTGTTATCGTCTGATAAGATGTCCTGTAGGAGGACACCTACTAGTCCAGTCATGGAGATAAAGGGAGTGAACCTGAAGGTCGTCATATAAATTATCATATAACACATTTTATGAATGAATAGTGTGGTTGCAGTTAAGCGTGAAATATTTTGAAATATATATATATATATTTTTTTCACACACTGAACTTTTACTATTGTTAAGTTAAAAATAAAACCATGGGGAGAAAGAATGCAGCAAAAGGAAAATGTGTTGTAAAACTATAAAGATAGAAGTGTAGTACTAGACTAAACAGAAATCAAAAACATAAAATTTAAACTAACAGTTGAGAGAAATTCCAAACGGATTTAAACAATATACTTCAGAAAGGGTCAGAAATTTTCTCTGAGAGTAGTAGTTCAGTTAAGGTAGAAAACAGGTGCCTTAGTTAAATTTCTCTATACAAAACAGTTAGACAACCTGATCCTCTTCCCAGCCTGAAAATTTGGACAATTTTCTCTCTTTCAACCTAATGTAACAGATTAATTTGGGACTCAGAAAATCTAGGTTCAGCAGAAGGAAGCATAGGTACTATATTAAAGATGGATTAAATAAAAGTCTATTTATTAAGTGGCATAATAATATTAATTATTTCTCCAATTAGACTCTAAGAACACTAGAAATTGGGCTTCTGCATCCTATGCAGGAATTTGTCAGGTTACTCTTTGGGAAAACTGACTAGGACCAAAGAAAAAGCTTATAATACTGAAATGACCCAGCCACAATAACCAAAAATAAAGCCATTGACTTCAGAAAGAGTTTCTTAAAAAAAAGAAAAAAAAGTTTTAGTTGTTGGATACTGTCATCCAAAAACTAAAATAAAACAAAGATATTTTAATTTTTGGATATTATCATCTGACAATAGTAAAAATAGCTTCAAAATTCAAATAAAATTATTTCTACATAGAATTATACCCAGATAAACTATTAATCATGGGTGAGATTTGGAGGACATTTCCAGGCATACAAATTATTAGAAACTAATATTCTATTGCATGACTGGAGGCTGTGGCTTGTGTTCCACCAAAACAAGGGAGACATTTGAATACAGAGGAAGATCTGTGATGCATGATATAGTGGATCCATCTCAGAAATTAGACAAAAGAAATTTTCTGGATAATTGAGGCTGACGAAAAGTCCACAGATGAGATCTGTGCCATGGTCTGGTAGATGACATAGCCAGGATTGGAGCAAGAAAACAAAGAGCTGCAGAAGGGACACTTTCAAGAAGAAGATAAAACTGTACATGATCTGATTTATTTGAGTGTATTTCAAGGAGATGCATTATTCATAGGTACATTGAAAAATAACCAAATGAATAAATAAAATGCTTGTTCATTTCGGGCAAAAAAAATCAAGATTTTATTTAAAAAATAAATAAAATAATATACTACATAACTGCTAGTGTTATTTACATAACTTTTTTTTTTTGAGATGGATTCTCGCTTTGTCACCCAGGCTGGAGTGCAATGGCACAATCTTGGCTCACTGAAGCCTCCTCCTCCCAGGTTCAAGCAATTCTCCTTCCTCAGCCTCCAGAGCAGCTGGGATTACAGGCACATGCCATCCCACCTGGCTAGTTTTTGTATTTTTAGTAGAGATGGGGTTTTACCGTGTTGGCCAGGCTGGTCTCGAACTGCTGACCTCAAGTGATCCACCTGCCTTGGCTTCCCAAAGTGCTGGGATTACAGGAGTGAGCCACTGCGCTCGGCCTATATAACTTTAATAATGTTAAGTACTGGATATTTTTAACCCAAAAATTAAATAGAAAGGGAAGGGCAAGTGAGGTGAGGGGAAGAAGAAGTTAGTGAGTGATATCTATAATGTAAAAATCAACAACAGTACACTTTAATTATTTTAAAATGTAATGAAAAAAATTTACACATAGCCAAATGATTTGAAAATAATTGTTGGTAGTGAATAGAAATAGGAGTGAGGAGGAGTGAGGCAGAGATTACTGCTTTCCATTATAAGGCAGGTTGAATTTTTTGTAGACTTATAACTTGTGTAACTATAAAAGCAAAATAAAAATAAATAGAAGCAGTTCATGGAAAAGACAGTGGTCAATGGTTCAATTCATCAACATATTGAGAAAAATCTATAAAGGTAAAAACATCATGAATGAGTTTGTAAGGCATGTTAAAAATGTTTTAAGCTTTATTGTAGATTGTATCAGTAGGTTGCCCATATTCACACAGCATTTTTCTCTACACACTAAATGGGTATACTGCAAAAACCTTTAACTCTTTTCTGAGGGGCGTTTGTTATTCTTTACTGATCTTAGGACAAAGTTATTCCATTGTCCAGGAAAATCTGAGTTCCTAAGGTTAATTTCCTCAGAAACAGCTATCAAATTGGATGAATGGAAATTTGATTAAAAGATAATCCAATCTGTTATCAAATCTGTTTGGTGTGCTACATTGATACCTTGCCCTGCCCTGGCCCCACCGCCAATAATGCAGATCTCCCAGAATACTCACACTTATGAGGTCCTGTCCTTAAATCTAGCCTGGCTTTGAAAATTTCCCTAACCAATAGGGGAAATTATATAAAGCTGAGGAATCATCCAATCGAGTCCAGTTGACTGAAAAATATCACAGAAGAAAATAAAGTTGTTTTAAGTCTCTACTTCTACATTTTTAATGGGTTATTACACAGTCATACATAATTAAAACACTAGGTGTTTTCACTGCTCAGTTGAAAAAACCTCCAAGGCATTTTCTACATTATCTTTCAGTTTCCTAGGAGAATGAAAGCTTCAGTTGCATGCAAAGGCAACAGACTTGTTAACAGATTCTTTTTTAGGTTACCTCCCTTCCTTGCCTTTATTCCCCAGTCTTCTGTATTTGTTTTCTGGGATCACCTCCCAAATGTAAATCCTTGTTTGAGGTTCTGCTTTTGAGATAAAACCAAGTAAGGCAAGAAGCGTTATTGAAATGATACATTATGACAAATTCACAGTTCGGTAATAGAAAATCACTTTCTATTTAGGAAAAAGGTTTGGAAGACATGTGTAGAAAAGGACATCAGGTAGAATGCTATTGTAGTAATCCAGATGAAAAAGGAAGATGTGCTGAGATGAAATAATAAGATGATGCAAGTAGACGATTATGAAAGATACTTCAGAGGTAGAATCCATAGTTATTGACAATAGTTTTGGATGTCAGTGATAAGTAAAAGCTGAGAAGACAAGGGTATCACTCTGCCTTAGGCAACTGAATTGTTGGGGAGAGGATAAAGGAGGAGGGCCAGATTTAGGGGGAAATTTCATATACTCAAAACTGAATGTGTTTAATAAAACTACCTATGGAACACCCAGCAGGCAGTTGATCATATGTGTTATACGGTACTGGGGTGTGATGTAGTGATCTGAATGAACTGAAAATAGTAAATTAAAGATCTCCAGGATTTAAGTGGTAATTGAGTAATAATTTTATATGAGATATCTCAGGGTAATAATAATGATAGGTGTTGTATGATAACTTCTAATTTACACAGTAATTTTACATGTACATTTTGGCTGTAAGGCACTGAATATAGCACTAGAAATGGAATTAGAACTTTTAGATTGTGTAGTAGGACATCAACAGGTATTCCTATTAGTTTATGGTGGCTCCTTACCCTAAGCCTGAATTACAATCTTTCTACTCATGCTTTGATTCAAAGTGTTAATCCTTTTTCAGTATTGCTAATTAAGTAAAGCCTACATTAGTCCATAGAAGAATATCAAAGTAACAAAGAATAAAAGTAGATAACAAAATGGTAATTTCAGATACACTACAGACACACCATAGTTATGAATTTGAAGACTAAACTTTAAATGTTACACTTATAGAAGTTTAGTGCTTTGGCTTAGGAATGCTGTTTCAGCTTGCAGGTAAACTAGAATTACCTAAGGAAATCACCTTCATTTGAAAGAGTGATTAAGGTCCATATTATGTCACTTTAAACTACGAATTGCTCTGAAAGAAGCCTCTACTGAGGATAAAAGTCCCCAGCAGAGGCTTGATTCCTGAACGGCCATCTTCCATTCCCCTGTTTCAAATCACCAAGTCAGACCACTTCTCTAGAGCAGGTCTAGCTGTCTCAAATCAGTACTGACATAGACTGATTCTGTAGATCATGACCTTAATTTTGTATAGGTACTTTACTTTGAAAGGAATAGACTCTGCCTGAATTTGACTGAGCAACTTCTTTTCATTGAATGGCTTTGAAAGCTACTTCTGTGTACAGCACATTTTCCACAATAGAAATTCAAGGATATTTTCTATCTCAATACTGTCAGCCCAAATGACTTCAAGCAGTTTCAATTCTGCCATCTGTAAGAGATGAATTTGTTCAATCAAGTTAAATCACCGTACCAGCTCAGTCGCTGCACCAGAAGGCATTAGAGTTTTACCTAACTGTTCTTATTCCAAGGTTAAATTAGTGTCTGAGGTTTCACATTTTGCCCCGAACCAGCAATTTATATATTTGTAATAATATATTCAGAAAATATTCATTAGCTAATTTAAGATGTCACATGGAGTGATTGTTTGAGCTTCTACTAAAAACATATTTTAAGATTCATTTTTAATAAAAAGAAACAATACTCTATTCATTATAAGTTGAATTTTAATCCATGAACTATGTATGTTAGGTATAGTGTATTCTACCTTCCTTACACATATAGAAGTTCACAGATGCACATATAGGCACATATACAGAAGGCTGAAGTCCGGCTCACCTTTAAAATTTCCTGATATTTTCAATCCTGCTCAACTTAGGTCAAGTCTCCTTTCACATCCAGTTTGCTTTATTTCTACATTTTCTTTCCTGGTCTACAACTACCATTACCTGTCTTGAACCCTCATCTAAATATAGGAGCTCATTTCTCTGTTCTCAGTTTATTTTTCTAAACATTTTCCTACAGGGGCTTCTTATAGTTATTTCTTACAGCACTTTTACTGATAATACAATAGCAGGACATGTTTTAAAATCACAGAATAGGATATTTAATACAGCTATTAGGAAATACTATTTTACACAGTAGATTTTTCAGTGTACAAAAGTAGCCATCTTGTTTAGTTAGAACCACCTCCATGATACATTGTCAAGGTATAGAATGAATATTCATGAGCTAAAATTTGAAAAAGAAAGAAGGGGAGGCATTATAAACAATTTTTCATGTAACCATATAGAATATCTGCAATACAACTACCACAAACCAGTAAGACGAGTTGTCAACTGGAAGAAAACTGTCTGGGAGCCAAGCATGAGAGGGAGAATTTTCATTGTGCAAAATAAAAACTTTGAAGCTATGTAAATGAATTATCTATCAAAAACATTAAAAATAAATAAATGGCTTCTGACCAAACAACTATAGCGATTTCTTTGATTGAATAAAGTGATCATGAAAGTCTGTTCATTAAGTAAAGGGGATACTGAACTTAAATAGGTTTGTAACTCAAGGATAAATATTAATAAAAAACGCAGGTATAGCCGAGCATGGTGCCTCACGCCTGTATTCCCAGCACTTTGGGAGGCTGAGGTAGGCAGATCACCTGAGGTCAGCAGTTCGAGACCAGCCTGGCCAACATGGTGAAACCCCGTCTCCACTAAAAAAACAAAAATTAGCCATGTGTGGTGGCACACTCCTGTAATCCCAGCTACTCAGGAGGCTGAGGCATGACAATGACTTGAACCCAGGAGGCAGAGGTTGCAGTGAGCCCAGATCATGCCATTGCACTCCAGCCTGGGCAATAGAGTGAAACTCCATCTCAGAAAAAGAAAAAAAAGAAAAGAAAAGAAAACGTAGGTATAAAGTCATAGATTGGATGCACAGCTTTCTTTATCTTGATTGCAGT
Source organism: Homo sapiens (assembly GCF_000001405.40). NCBI lineage: Eukaryota > Metazoa > Chordata > Mammalia > Primates > Hominidae > Homo > Homo sapiens. Next base: position 65,815,840 of record NC_000006.12, read on the forward strand.
TATACAATACAAAAACAAAATAAAACTTAAAAGTTGTTGCTCATTTATTCTAAATTTTTTTTCTAATTTCTGAATAGACTACAGATATAAGGTGTTCAATGAATTAAATATCGTTCCTGTCCATGTATGGCTTATAACCTAGTGGGGAAAATGATATTTAATTTTAAAAATAGAAAATCAAATTCATAATTATTAATGTTTAGTAAATTTTATATTAAAAATTGAATTTTCAGATAAATATAATAAAAGGGAAAGGTTAGAGAAGATCTCACTGCAAAAAATTACATTTGGTTTCATAGACTTAGGCAGACAAAGAAAGAGGGAAAGAGTGTTCAATAACTAATGAAAGAGACAAGAAACAAGCTTAGAAATGAAGATTAAAAGCAAATGATGCAGAACCTTGGAAAACAGGTTATAGATTTTCTATATTTTCTTAAATGCAAAAGAAATCCCAAACAGATTTTTGGAAGCCAGCTGTATTTGCATTTTACACTATCCTTCTGAGTGACACAAAGAGAAGCCCAGCTTTATTTAAAACATACAGTCATGTGCCACATAACAACATTTCAGTTAATGAGGACCTGCATAAAAGACAGTGGTTCCATAAGATTATGATGGAGACTCCCCTATAAAAGTGGACCATTTTATTTAATCTTTTATACCGTGTTTTTACCATATCTTTTCTATTTTTAGATATGCAAATACTTACATTTGCATTGCATTTGTCAACAGTGTTCAAGACAGTAACAGATTTGTAGCATAGGAGCAATAGGCTATAGTATCTAGCCTATACTGTCTAGCCTAGGTGTGTAGCAGGATATACCATCTAGGTTTGTTACACCCAATCTATGATGTTTGCACAATGATGAAACCACTTCACTACACATTTCTCAGAATACATCTCCATTGTTAAACCATGCATGACTGTTCGGTGATAATCTACAGAAGAGATTTACTAGGGTGCAGAGAGATTAAGAAAGTTAGATTTGAAATATATTGAGAGGTAAATTAATAGAATTTGGTGAAAGTTGATGGGTGTTAAAATTGAGTTAAGTGTCTTCAATAGTGACTCCTGGTTTTGTGGCTTGAGCAGTTGGGTACAAGCAGATGAACTGTTATCTGAACAGAAAAGACTAGAAGAGGAGCAACTTGGGGTACAGGGAGAGCTCACATTACGTGTAAGTTTCTAAATTTTTGCTATCAATTTGAGTGTTGTGATATCAAATAGGCAGCCTATGTTGAACACTAGGAATAAATCCAACAGCCATAAATGTTCCCTCTCTTTTTTTCCCCCGCCCAGAGGAGTAGTAGATCTTTCTTTCATTACTGTTTGGCATGGACCTCTGTCTTCATTCAGAGTTATCTGATATGAAAATGAGCTCAGTGCACAGAAGGAGAGATTCAGACTAGGAAAATTGCCTCCCATATGGCAGGATAGTGAATACTGTTAAGGAAAAAATGAGGAATATTATCACCTTTATCAGAAAATGACACACAAAATGTCTCAAATTCCCAATGTCAATTAACCTGTTTGTTCAATGTCATTAGCAATTATCATTTACTAAGCAATTCTCATTGTTCATTTGGAACATTTCTTTATTTAGCCCTTTAGAAGTCAATTTTGAATTGGCATGTCACTTTGCCCCAGTAGACACCATGGAAACTAGGATAGACTAGTTAAAAGAAGATTATTTTAAAATTACCTCTTTTTATAAAAGAAACTGACACAAAACTGCTGTTTTGCAAATTATTCTTAAAAAGTGGCCTTTTCATTTTAAATGACTTTAATACTTTTAAAAGATCGAATAAGAAACGGAAAATAATGGTTTAACATTAATATTTAGATTGATTTTAGCTTCAGATCAATTTGTTTTTATTTATGGCTAACTTTTTAAATGATAGATTCTTTAACTTGTACTTATTTTTTTCTACTTTATCCTCAGATTATTTGTGCTAAAAACTACTCAAAGAAACAAAAGACAGAAGTTTGTGTCACTGAGTCCTAAGCTAAATGGAAGAACTTTGATGTTACTGTTTTCATCTCTCATACTTCCAGAAGGGTAAAGCTGGCAGATCCACATTCAGAGACAATCCCCATCAACCATTATTACACAGCTATGATTAGGACCCCAACCACTCTCTAAGTAGAGATATGATTTGCTTTTATAAATGCTGGGTTTAGTTGTGAATTTAAACTTGTTATGAATAAATATTGACATAAATTCTACAAGGAAATTGTTCCTCAGGCTTGGCGGATGTACCTCTTAGGAATAATAACAAATATCCTGTTCCAGATCGAAACTATGCCAATCAGTCTGAAAATACTCAATTTGTCCAGTGATTTCCATGTGTCTCTAAGCATATATATTTTACAAATAACAACTTCTTTAATCTTGGACTTGTGTTGTTTGATATGTGTGTCTTCTTTATTAGAGGATGGAAATGGAAGTTATCAAGGCTAGGCATACCTGATCAGTTAGTTAGTTGCATGAGATGCTAGAACAGTGAAACATATTATTAATGAGGCTTTAAGAATCTACCACATTCTCTTTCTCCTAGTTAATATATGGTGATCTTGTGTGTCTCATTTTAGATGCCTCCTGTAATGAGAAGATATCTCTAACCCCACACTGAGTTGGATTATACATTTTCAGGGAGTACGGCTATTACAAAATTTGTTATTATTTATTATATTTACCTTTTTTGTTTTCCTGGTTTTTACTTTGGGTTCCTCATTAAATCTATTATAATTTTAATGCAAGAAGCACATCTTTTTTTCATTCAATCTATGGTACAATGTTGTGGGTGTACCAAAGCTTATTTTCTATTCCTCCTTTCTGGACACATACAAGATTATAGAGCTTATGTGGTAAAGTGTAGCCATGTGACTGTTTCTGGACTATAATATCTAAATGATACTTTTAATTTCTGAGCTGAATCAGCAAATAATCTTGTTTTACCGTGGAACGACCACCATGGGGTACGTGTGTGTGAGATAACAGAATGTTTATTAATCTGGGTTCCTTTGTAAATATGTAGAATGAGGCTACATATTTGTTAATCGCTGATATTTTGGGGTTAAAATTTATTAAGCACGGCTTATTTTTAGCTATTCTAAGTAATATAGTGTTCTAAGACGCTAGTAACATGCTTGGCCTATAAGGTATAAAAATATGAATTGAATGACTGAATACATGGAAATATTTTTCCTCCTCAGCTGAAACTCCAGATGTCATTAACTTTGAAAGTCAATATTCATGTTGAAAACACCTGTAAATCAAAGTACACACTTTTAAAATTCATCTCCTTCATGATTTACTATATAAAATGTTTACCAATGTCAAAAACTTAGGTCTGAGATTTTACCCTGGTTACAGTGTAATGACTTAGGCTGCCACAGTTTCATAAACACTGGCAGAAGATATGAGACTCTCAGGTTGGAGACAAAGGACCTTACTCATCATGACATAGCAGGCAGCATGCATTTTATGTTTGCTTTGGTTCTCCTTATTCCCCATGTCTCAAAGAGTAATGCAGAGCACAGAGTGACTCAGGACTCAGAAAAATGCTGCCCAAGCGGTGAATATCCATCACCGTGAGGAAACCTTAGCTAGCAACACCCTAATCCTTTAAAGTGGCTGCATGCAAACCTTCTTGAATCTTGTCCTGGTGAACAAACAAATTTATCTTCTTCACTGGAGGGAGACATTATCCAATTTCCGAGATTGCATGCTATACAAGCATACTTGAAAACATAGCCCTGAATCTGTATGTCTTTCATGCACAGGTTAAAATGCCTGTGCATGGAAGACATACAGACTCACAAGACATTCACCAAAAATTGTCTCCCAGAAATTAAGAAAACAGATGCTTAGAAATTTCACTTTTTACAGGGATTGGCAGACTATGGCTTTCCACAAAAAATTATTTTACCCTTTCATTTACTCATTCAGCAACTATTTGTTAAGATACTTTTATAGAATAAATATGGGGTTTGACCTTTAATACATATTTACCTACCCAAAGTATGTATTGCTTCCATCAATGAGGTCCATAGGAGAAAGTTTGAAAATTTCAAATATGCAAGATTGAGTATAGACAAATTTAGGTGTGATTGGGAATAATATAAAACAACAACAGAAACAGCAACAATACCTAATATTTTTGAAATCTATTGTGTACTGGATGGCTTTAAATAGATTATGTCATTTGTTAAAAATAGCATAATTAGGAATGCTCTATTATTATCTATATTTTATTTGTAGTGTGTTTAATAGTTTAATTTAGAACGAGCATTATGATGAGATGAGTGAGGCAAGGTTAGGAAGTAAAAGGCTAGATCTTGTTGCTATTTAAAAACTTGGTATCAATGACTTTCTTCACCAAATAGCATGGTGCTGCCATAAAAACAGACACATGGACCAATGAAATAGAATATAGAACCCAGAAGCAAATCCATACATCTACAGTGAACACATTTTCAACAAAGGTCCCCCAACATATACTGCGGAAATGCAGTCTTTTCAATAAACAGTGCTGGGAAAACTGGATATCCATATGCAGAAAAATGAAGTTAGTCCCCTACCTCTCGCCATATACAAAAATCAAATCAAAATGGATTAAAAACTTAAGTATAAGACCTCAAACTATGAAAGTACTACAAGAAAACATTGGGGAAGCTCTTCAGGACATTGGATTGGGCAACAATTTATTGATAATACCCCACAAACACAGACAACCAAAGCAAAATGGACAAATGGGATCACATCAAGTTAAAAAGCTTCTGCACAGCAAAGAAATCATTCAGCAAAGAGAAGAAACAACCCACAAAATGGGAGAAAATATTTGCAAACTATACATTGGACAAGGGATTAATATCCAAAATATATGAGGAGCTCAAACAATTCTATAGGAAAGTATCCAATAATCTGCTTTAAAAATGGGCAAATGATCTGAATAGCCACTTCTCAAAAGAAGACATACAGATGGCAAACAAGTGTATAAGAAAGTGCTCAACATCATTGACTATCATAGAAAAATAACTAGAAACTAATGAGATATCATCTCACTCCTGTTAAAATGGCTTTTATCCAAAATACAGGCAATAACAAATGCTAGAGAGAGTGTGGAGAAAAAGTAACCCTCTTACGCTGTTGGTGGGGATGTCAATTAGTACAACCACTATAGAGAAGAGTTTGGAGATTCCTCAAAAAACTAAAAATAGAACTACCCTATTGTATTAGTTTATTCTTGCTATAAGAAATACCCAAGCCTAGGAAATTTATAAAGAAAAGAGATTTAATTGGTTCACAGTTTTGCAGGCTGTACAGGAAGCATAGCAGCTTCTGTTTCTGGGGAGGCCTCAGAAAGCACCCAATCATGACCGAGGGCAAAGCGGGAGCAAGACAGTTCACATGGCTGTAATAGGAGAAAGAGAGAGAAGGGGGAGGTGCCACATACTTTTAAACTACCAGATCTCACGAGAATTCACTATTGCCACAACTGCACCAAGAGGCTAAATCATAAGAAACTGCCCCCATGATCCAATCACCTCCTACCAGGTCCTATTCCAACATTGAGGATTAAAATTCAACAAGAGATTTGGGTAGGGCACACAGATCAAACCATATCACATATGATCCAGTAATCCTACTGCTAGGGATATACTCAAAACAAAGAAAACTAGTATATTAAAGAGATATCTGAACTCACATGTTTACTGCAGCATTGTTAACAATAGTCAAGATTTGGAAGTAACCTGAGTCCATCAACAGACAAATGGATAAGGAAAATGTGGTACATATACCAATGGAGTACTATTCAGCCATTAAAAAGGATGAGATTCAGTCATTTGCAAAAACATGGATGGAGCTAGAGGTCATTATGTTAAGTAAAATAAGCCAGGCACAGAAAGATGAACTTCACATAGTCTCACTTATTTGTGGGTGCTAAAAATTTGAACAATTGAACTCATGGAGATAGAGAGTAGGATGGTTACCAGAGGCTGAGAAGCGTAGTGGGAGTGGGGGGAAGTGGGGATGGTTAAATGGTTAATGGATACAAAAATATACTTAGATAAAATGAATACGATACAGTATTTGATAGCACAAGAGGGTGACTATAATCAACAGTAATTTGTTGTTGTTGTTGTTGTTGTTTTGTTTTGTATTTTTTTTTTGAGACAGAGTTTCACTCTTGTCATCCAGTCTGGAGTGCAATGACATGATCTGGGCTCACGGCAACCTCTGCCTCCCAGGTTCCAGTGATTCTCCTGCCTCAGCCTCCCAAGTAGCTGGGATTACAGGTGCCCACCACCACACCTGGCTAATTTTATTGTACATTTTTAAATAATTAAGAATATAATTGGATTGTCTTTAACAGAAAGAAAGGATAAATGCTTGAGGTGATAGGTACTCCATTTATCCTGATGTAATTATTACACATTGTATGCATGTATCAAAATATCTCATGTATCTCATATGTATAGACACCTACTATGTACTCATAAAAATAAATAATAAAAATAAAAAATAAAAATTTGATAAAATTCCTGCTCATATTGCATTTTTGTCATTGGCATTATTCTGTCAGATATCAAATAATTCTAAATATATTTTGGTTGTGGCCCATAATTAATTATTTTGATAATGATGGAGAAAATGTTTGATGAACACTCTACTGACATTTATTCATTTTATTCTAAGCTTAGGTTATATATAGCAATCCTTAGAGTCAAGATTTGTGGATGATCCATGAATAAAAATCATGTATATGGGAATGCTTATGGTATTTAAATTTCTAGTAAATAATAAATTTTCAGTGACCCCTCTGTTGACATATACCATTTTTATTTTTGTCTATACAAGATGGGGTGAGGATGCTGTCCTTGCTAAAGAAGGAAGTACTGCAGAAAGATGTAGCCAGGTGGCTTAAAAAGCTACTTGGCAGGCAACAGGATCATGCTGGTGTTCTGGACTTATTGGATATTTTATTCTATTCTTTTCTTTTTTTATACAGAGTGTCACACTATAGCCTGGGTTCGAGTGCAATGGTGTCATCTCAGCTCACTGCAACCTCCGCCTCCCAGGTTCAAGCGATTCTCCTGCCTCAGCCTTCTGAGTAGCTGGGATTACAGGTGTCCGCCACCATGCCCGGCTAATTTTTTGCATTTTTAGTAGAGATGGAGTTTCACTATGTTGGGCAGGCTGGTCTTGAACTCCTGACCTCGTGATCTGCCCACCTTGGCCTCCCAAAGTGCTGGGATTACAGGCATTGAGCCACTGTGACCAGCCTATATTCTTTTATTTCTTTGCAATGTTCCAGAGAACTTTCTTAAGCATTCATTATGTTTAATAACTTCTGCTTCCAAAGTAGACTGAAATAAACCCTTCTCCCCAAGATGTAGAGAGGCACTTCTTTCTACTGATGACTTATTTCTAGATTCAGAAGGCTACTTGTCAGATTTTTGTAACCTCTGATGCTATGAGGAAAGAACATGAAAGAATCTTAGAGAAAAGCCTATATCATCTTAAATATTCTTCCTCTGATGCTGTGAGGAAAGAACATGAAAGAATCTTACAGAAAAGCCTATATGATCTTAAATATTCTTTACTTTTCAAGGTTACTCACTCTCCCAACAAATTTTCTATCCTCGTTCAGTTTCTGTTCAGTGTATTAAAGCTTGCAGGCAGGAGCAGAAAGACATTGTGATGGTTAATTCTATGTGTCTATGTGACTGGACCACGAGGTGCCCAGATATTTGGGGAAATATTCTCAGTGTGTCTATGAGGGTGTTTCTGGATGAGATTAATGTTTAAATTGCAGACTGAATAAAGAAGATTGCTTCCTTCCTATGTGAGTGGGCCCCATTCAATCTGTTAAAGGCCTGATAGAACAAATTGTTGAGTAATAGAGATTTACTCTTTCTGCCTGACCAACTTCCAGTTAAGACCATGGTCTTCTCTTGCCTTCAGACTCAAATGGGAACTTACATTGTCGACACTCCTTCTCTGGCCTCCAGTTTGCCAACTGCAGATCTTGGGACTTCTCAGCCTCTTTGACTTCATGTATATATATATATATATATATATGCACACACATATACATATAATTATATATTTATATATGGAAATATGTAAAAATTATTTATAAAGATTACATATAAAATTATATATAATAATATATAAAATTATATATATGTTCATGTGTACATACATATATGTGTATATATACATATTTCTGTTTCTCTGGAGAATCCCGATAATACAGACATATGGGAGCAGGGGAAAACCTGGCCACTGGAGAGATGGTGTCGCACAAGCAAAGTTAATGCAGAGAAGGTGTAAGAGCAAAGAATAAGAGAGCAGAAACAAGTGTCTTAAAATCCACTCTTCACATATCAACCTGGAGCTTTCCCACATGTAGAACACACAAATCTGAAAATCAACCAAGCTGGGCTAATAAACCTTGCAAAGGCTGTTGCAGAGCAGCTGCAGCTACGGCAAACCAAAAGCTCTAGAAAATATCTCAATAATTCAGTGAATGTTTATTTGGAGAATCATTGATTCAGGAAATTTTCTTTTGTCAAATCTGCTTTGAGTGAATTAGTCGTTTTCTGAATTGTGTTTCAATACATCATAATTTGGTGATTTTTCTGCTAATTGGACAGCACTAAAGCAAAATCAGGGTGCTGTTGAGTCAGGAATTAGCTTTGGTGGCCTCTGGAGGGGATCAAGTTGGTTCTATCAATCAGTGGAGAAAAAATAAAAATGTAAAAGTTAGTCAAATGTATGAGGAAGAAATAAAATTTAAACAAATAATAAAGAGGTCATTCAAACAGCTACTCTATTACTTTCTTTAAAAAGAGTAGCTAGGAATAGGCCTGTGGAGATCAACAGATTGTCTCTCTAGGCAATCCATAAAGAAAAATTCTGTGTGAAAAGTGTATTTTTAGATCTTCAAGAAGATGAAAATAAGAAATGCACAGCTAGAATTATTTAAATTATAGAGCTAAAGCTTTGGTTTGTATACTTACCTGAATGAGAAAGCAGTAAATCATTTTCATATTTATCTCTTATACATCTCTATAATTCTAAGAAGAGTCAAACTAAAATGTATATTGAGGTCATCTAAAATTGAATTGTTATACAAAAGGAATATCTTAGCACCTTATTTGTAATTATTTTACTGTTACTGATATTTTGTGATTTTGCTTATTTTATGCTTATTTCTCTGGAAATAAATTATTTTCTTTTTAGCCTGACTTGGTTTTGTTTCTACATTATTAACATTTCTTTGGACTTTTGAAGACTATGAATTATTATGAGGTTAATAATTTTTTTTAAAAAATGATAAATGAAGAAATCTCATTGAGGTATTATTTGTATTTTTGTTATGTTATGTCTTGTTATTAAATGTCAGATAGAGCATATACATTGATCCATAGTGTTATTAATACAAAAGCTTGGATCATCAAGAGATACATATGAATTAATAACACCGACAAAGAGTCAATTCAGAAAATAATTAAACACATTGTCTCCTGTCCTGTCTTTTGTGACTGAAGTGTTTATTATTATTTTTTTTCTTAGTTTTCAGTGATAGCTTTTCAGTCAAGTTCATCCCTTCCTTGAAATCAACAGTTCTCATCTGATTTTAAGACTTTATATTGACTTCACATTATTATATGTCAGTGAAGTACCTGGGGAATGTAACACTCTTCCAATGATAGTGTCCTGTCAATTTCTTTTCACATTCTTTTCTTTCCAGGGTATAATATTAGGTATAGACTTTATTAAAGAAAGGATTTTATAGGTCTCAAAATCCTAGTAAAGTCATATTTTCTGTGAATATGGTATTTCAAACACTAGTGTCAGAACTTTTATTATTTTCTTCTTCCTCATTATCTGTTCACTTTCTCTAGTATTTTGTTATCTTCATTCCTTTAAAACAAAATGGTATAACCTAGAAGATACGAAAAGCTATGATTCCATGAGTGGGGTTCAAAGGATGAGCTAATGTCTAAAATTGTACATGTTATTGTGTGTGAATATCCGGTTATGAACAGCATTTTTTTTGGAGAAGGAGCCTATAACTTTTATTAGTTTTCAAGGAGTACATGGTCAAAGACAATTTTTAAAACTCTATACATTTAAAATTATTTCAGAAATATTTAAATAATTTACCTCAAAATTTAATAATTTAATAGGGTATTATTTTACCATACTGTCTAAAATGTAATGGAAATTGAACTTCTAATTTTCTCCCATTTTACGGGGTTTCTTTCTTTCTTTAAGTTTTGGAGTACTTAAAAATACCTCAAGCCAAATAAATTACCACTAGTCATGTATACGTTCAAGCAAATATCATCCACAGACAAATATCAATGGGATCCTCTTGAATTTGGTTGTTCTTTCATGTAAACTTTGTTTCACATGTATCTTTTTGAATTTTATATGCATTTGATACAAGCATGTAGTAGATTCTTATAATTTTATGTTGTTTCAGCATTCATTTTGAAAACAGGTTTGTCTTTGTTGTACCTCAAGCAGAGCTCAGTCTCTCTTGACACAGTTTTTAATTCTATGCCTCACTCAAATATCTCAAGCCAGTGGGCAGACTTAAGAACTTACAAGTATCTCTCTGGTCTAGTTGACTGGGCTCCTTGCTTTCCCACAGCTTCCTTTAAGCTGACCATTCAGGCATTTGCCTAGACTCTTCAAGTGACCCACACTCTGTTCCCTTCTCTATACTGCCAATTGCCACATGCTCTACTCTCTCCCTACTGACTCCTCATTCCTGCCTCATATGACCTAGATACCAAGTACTGCCTTTGTGACTCACTGGACCCTCCTTGCCCAGAATCTGAAAGTAAAATCTTTGAACTTGTTTCCTGTTGTGCCGGTGCATCAAATTTGTGGCATCCATCTAAAGAACTAGGGGATGCCCCAGGCTGAGATATCGCCAGGATGCTAGGAGTAACACAGCGTCAGACTCTCAGCTTCAGAGCAATGGTCAGGCAGACATAAGCCGAACATGGGTCAGTCAAGAGCCACAGGGGCATCTGCCAGGATAAACAAGTTTGCCATGTGAGGGGTCCCCGGTCATGGGTTGTATAACTGCATGTTAGGCTGGGTGCCAGATCAAAGCAGTACCCTGTGAAAGGCACACTGTAAGCACTCACATCGAGTCCCTTTTCATTTTCCTTAGGGAAGGGTTGCTAGCTGCTCGGACACCAGAACCCCAATTTAGCTGGGGGCTCACAAAACAAAGTATTACTGGATTATTCATGAAAGCTGTTACAAAAAATTTTCACACAAATGTTGTGGTTATTATTTTAGACAAATTATGCCTGAGAGAGAATCTTATCTGTACATGTTTATATGAGAACTGATTTCTCTAAAATCAAGAGCATTTTACTGTCTTTCCTATAAATAAGAAAATGTACATTTTCCCATAGGACATAGTAATAAAACTGATAAGCTCTAACCACACGCTGGACTAGGGCTTCCTAACTCTGGGGAACAGACAGCCTATCTGTGAGTGCTGGATTCAGAATAAGTATCTTTCATATAGAATGACAACCAAGCCCCCAAAAATCCAAGTCATAGAACTCTAATATAAAAACTCCAAGTCCAAAGTATTTTAAGCTTTAGAAAGCCTTTTCAAGAGATAACCTGTTAGAAGAGACAATATGCATGTTCATTGTCTGTAATTTTGACACTAATTTAAAACATTAAAGGCTGCAATGTTATAAATGATATACACGTTCATTTCAAATTTTCACCGTACTTGATATTATGAAATGAGTAAGATATAATCCTCAGTCAACTGTTCTCCCCAAACTTACCTTAGTTTGTAAACACAAAGACATTATCAAGCTTTCAAGGAAAATAAATATTTGATATTTTCTTTCAGAATGCTATATTCTACTCCTTATAGGTTCCAAATCTTCTTTTCAATTATTAGATATGATATTTTGAAATAATTCTGGAAAAGGAGAAGGAATAGTTATTTATCCATGTATTCACTTTTTGTTTGTCAATCTCTACTACAATATTGGCCATAGACACTGAAGAATTTTAGGAGGAAGTAGGGGAGAGTGTGATGTGGCAGGATGGGGAATGAAAGAATGTGCCATAAATGTTTTGAATTACATGAGCCAGAACTCACTTTTAGCTGCAAGAGTAATAAATGTCACTAGAACATGCTGTATACCATCCTGCATTTCAATATACATTCTCCTTATTTTTGAGTGATTATCTAACTTTTTACCAACTTTCATTTATTTAACAACTAATATTACCTCAGGATTGAATGAATATATTAGACAAAACAGCAAGATAAAATTACAATGCAAAGTAACAAATACCAAAATTTATTCTAGATTTTAAAATTTTCCATTTTATTAGATTTTAAGTGATCAATATCAGGATTATTATATGATAAGATATTCCATTAAAATTCTATTAGCTGAAGTTTTCAAGGGAGAAAGATACCCCAATATTTGAAGATTGATTTTTAAAGAAAATAGTGAGACTGATATTTGATTATTTGATTATGAATGTTTTATATATACTTTTATCATATGTATTAACCATAATGGATATAATAAATAGCAATTACATATTTATAGTTCCTTTGAAAAATTAATTGCAGTTTTCTTTCAGTATTTGTTACTAATTAGATAACAGCAGAAAAAAGCTAATTAAAAGTACATATAAGAAGTATTTTCAGAAATAGTAATGGAATATAACCAATCTTGCTGTCCAAAGAAAGCAAATACAAATAATATAAAAGTGTATAAAATCATGTTCAAAAATGGCATTCATTATAATCCAAGAAATAAAATAAATATCCATGAGTAAATAAATAAGTGGTGGAGAAGGGACAACTCTTCTTTACAGAAAAAAATTCAATACATGAATGTGTAAGTATTGAGAGAAATAGATCAGGATTGTAGAATTACAGCAATAATTGCAATAGGCAAGATCCACTGATGACTTCTAAAATTACTGACTAAAATTCTAAAGAGAAATAAAATATTTGCATAACCTACAGCATACTTTCGGATATAGTCTGTAATTACTATGGCGATTTTAACATACGTGCAAACTTCTCAGATTATTCTCCCTCCAAGAGATGGAGCTGAAGTCCCTTCCTGAGTGTGGGTTGAATATAGAAATTCACCTCTAATGAATTGAGTATGAAAAGGGGAAAGTGGTAAATTTACACTGCAGAACATCGGTAGATACTGCCATAATCAAGTGATCAAGATCAGCATCACCTGTGATAACACATATTGACATCATGTGTCCTCCATATGTGATGAGGATGGCATTTCACCTCTCTGATATCTTTCCTCCAAATCCTTATCTTCTGTGTAATCATGAGAAATTCAAAGAAACTCAATTTAAGCAACAATCTAAAAACCACCTGAACATTATTGAAAAATGTTTCCTCATGAAATGTAAGGTAAGACTGAGTAACTCTTACCTACTGAAGGAAACTAAGGAGCCATGACAACTAAATGCAGTGCAGAATCCTGGCTTGAATCCTGGAAATATCCATTAGTGAAAAACTGGTAAATCTGAATAAACTCTGCAGTTCAGTTGATAGAATTGTACCAATGTTACTTTCTTCATTTTGCTTATTATAGTTATATATATTATTATAGTTATGTAAAATTTTAACATTAAGGAAAGCTGAGTGAAACATATTTGAAACTCTCTTACCATTTCTAGTATTCTGTAACTTTAACATTATTTTAAAATAAAGAAGTTTTAAAAAGAATATTCAGAATCATTGTTTTATTAAACATTCTTAAAAGTTTAAATTCTGTAGTATCACTACAATTCTTGTATCACCTGACAACTAAGATATCCCTGCTATATTTTCCTATATCCTGCCTGGTGTCCTCCATTACATGTTTCTGTGATCATCTGTTATATGTCTTCTGCATGGTGGTATACAGCGTCAGGAACAATTCCTGATTCACAAAGGCCTCATCATTTATATAATAAATTTATGTGAAATCCATTCCCAAATATTTAGAAGGAGTTCATGTTGGGTTTATTGCATTTAATGGTGTACTCAATATTGAATTTATTTGATTCAGAGGAATGAGAAGAAAACTATTTCAAAATCAAAATGACATCATTAGTGTACTAAATTGATTCAAATTAATTCTGTATATAGTATTTCATACACAAAATAATTTGAGAAAGGAGTTTTTGTAATTTAATATAAGGTAAGATCTTTAATTTTTCACAATCTCAAATAATTGTATTGAAATACGTTATAAGCTATACATCACAAACAATATTTTAACAGAAAAATAAATTTTTATACATGTACATTTTTTCCAATTTGAAAAAACTAATTAAAGTCTTCCAATATCAATCTCTAATCCTCTGGGCTCCTCTAACAACCCATTATACTGTAACATAGGAACAATACAGTCATTTTAATTATTTCTAAACCTACTGAGTACTTTTATGATTATTTTAAAATAAGCCACCTGACAGTGTTCCAATTGTCCTGAGAAATGAAGGTTCATTAGTTTGAGTGAATGAATTGTTTAATAGTGTACTGATTCTTGCCTCACAGGGAATCTGAGGAAGTAGATATGGAAATTTCCACATAGATTCCTGTATTATTCATAAAAAATATATGTAGTTTTACCAAAATGTATGAGTTTAAGTTTTTACAAATATTAAATAATAAATTTCAATATTATCTATGCCTTTCAGAAATTTGATTTATATGTTTTTAAGTACAAATAATATCTCAGTAATTTCCTCCAGAGTTTTCTATGTTCTAAGGACTATACTTCCTTCATGTATTACTCTGTTATTTGAATGGATTGTTTCTGATATATATGTTGATATTTGTAATAGAAATAAACATCCATACAATGTAATGAATTGGTTTTTAAAAAGAAAATGCTTCATTTTAATTTGTGTAAAAATAAAGAGAAAAGAATTTGTTAGAAGCAAAGTGATATTAAGATTTCCAGTACTTGTGAAACATAAGATTGTTGATGATGATCATGATGATGCTTTTGAAGAACACGATAGTAACAAAGCTAACCTTTGACTTCTACACTGTGAGCTTTACAATGCATATGAGGAGAAGGATTGCTTCTATCCCTATTTCACGAATGAAGGAGAGAAAAATGCAGTAAAATTTCTGAATTCAGAAGACAAAGATTGAAAGCTATGCTGGGATATGATTCCACAAGTTTGCCTAGTAGGTCTGGGGTAGTTTCAAACGTGTGTATTTTATACCACACCCTGTTTTTGTTTTTTACAGTATTTATCTTAGATAATGCTGATGTACTCTTCTAACATAGAGTACATATTCAATAAATATTTACTGTTGAGCTATTGATATGTTTTGGACATTGATATGTCAAAAAGCCATCTTGACTTTTGGAATTATTCACTTTATGACATTATCGATTACGATAATTGGAGCAAGTGCTACATGGGATTGTTGAAAGGGGATTCTTGATGAGATATACAACTCTCAGTGCTAGGCGTTGTTGTTAAGGCTGCAGAAATGAGTTCAATACATCATCCCATGGCAGAAACACTCATTCAGTAATATTTTCAGGCTGAAAAATATTCTGTATGACAATACTCTAAAGATTATAAAAACAGGGTAGAGTCATGAATTTAAACATTTTCATTGCTAGAATTAATTGCTATTGTACTATGTTGAGGCCTTTACTTTCTTCTTAATGAAAGAAAATGGTAATTAATATATGTTTTATATAAAGAGTTGAGTAAGAACTTTTGCAAATTGTATCCATTTTCAGGGAAAGAGATTTAATTTTTATTGTATTACCCGTGGCCTGGTGAAGTTGTAGCAGTAACACTGTATCCCACCCTGGGTTAGCTGCCCTGGTGTTTTCTAAAGATAACTAGAATTTTTGTACCTTTGAAAACTGGTTCCTGGTCAAATATCTTTGAAAAGTATACCCAGTAAACTTTCTAGATACTATCATCAGCTAATTGAATTTAAATGGCTATTCTCTTATTCCCTTAACAAGCTTTCCCAGTATATTTCCTTCTTGGACTTTCATAGAATGTAGCAACTTACAGGGAAAGAAAAAAGAACTGCATAACTTTAAAGCATAATAATACTAATAAAACAAACTTTAATAAGTATGATGAAGAGTCTTTGTATGGAAAGAAACAAAGTTGTGAGTGTCATAGTAGAGGCTACTTGTTAGAAAGCAAAGATTCAAAAAAAAAAATAGGTAGTAGCAAACTTGTAAGAGCAAGACCATAAATTCTGATCCATCGTTTCTTTATCAAATATTACAATCAGTTTATCTGCCCTAACAGTCTTCCGTAATTCTGCTTGCATCTCTCTCCTCAGAAACAAAGCCTAGGAGAAAGGCAGAGCAGAGTAAGTTCAATTCCCCTAAAAGCCATTACAAAACGATGAGG
The DNA here is from genome assembly GCF_000001405.40 of Homo sapiens. Taxonomy (NCBI): domain Eukaryota; kingdom Metazoa; phylum Chordata; class Mammalia; order Primates; family Hominidae; genus Homo; species Homo sapiens. Next base: position 65,832,297 of record NC_000006.12, read on the forward strand.
CAGCATGATTCAGTGGAGAGGGTACAGGTTTCAGAATCAGATATACCACTCTCTGGATCCTAACTGAAGTCATTGCCTTGAATAATACTCTTGACTGTAAGCTTCAGAACAATATTGCAAACCATTCTAATCACCTGAACATACACATATACATTAAGTTGAGGGCAAATTTATGAAAGAACACTGGAGTTTTTCAAAGAAATATAAAATATTGATCAGCAGCAAATCAAGAAGTGAAGAAAAAAGGCAGATGCAATTCTATAACCTTTATTTATCTATCTAACATTGATCTAACTTAGTTTATATTAGTTCTCTGTGTGTCTCACAAATTGTAGAGCAAGAAAATATGATTGGTTACACCTATATTTAAACTTACCTATTCATCTGCAGTTAGGTCAATAAAATTTAAAATTTGTGTCACATTAAATGCATAAATGGCTTCTGGAATTCTTTTAAAAAGAAGTGCATAGTTTTTGCAAACCCTTTAATAGTGGTCCACTGCATTTGATTTATTAGCTGCTCAGCAAACAAGTTTATTCTCATTTATATAAATGTCCAAAGATGACCCAATTTAATATGATCTAACTATTTCAACTATTACATTATTTCAGTAGTGACTACCAATTTGTTCATGCCTCTCTCTATGACCCTTTTTATAGTTCATTCAGGCTGCAATGACAGAACACCACAAACCAAATGGATTACAAACAACAGAAATTTGTTTCTCATAGTAATGGAGTTGAGGAAGTCTCAAGAACAAGATGCTGGCAGATTTGGAGTCTTTGTGGACCATTTTCTGGTATACAGATGGCTGACTTTTCTTTGTGTCCTCACACAAGGAAGGAGTAAATGAGCTTTCTGAGATTACTTTTGTAAAGGGCACTAATCCCATTAATAAAAGCCCTCATGACCCAATCTACTCCCAAAGGCCTCACTCCCCCAGTACCTCATACTGGGAATTAGGTTTCAACATATGCATTTGGGGTGGGACGTGTTTACTCAATAGAGTTTCTATATAATATGACTTTGACTGACTTTCCATTTAAAGAGAAGTCTGATTCTTCATCACCACTGGTCTTCAAAGGCCAATGCCATTCTTCATGTTTACATTGGGCTGTTTATGTTGGCTGTCAGCTGAGAGTTCAGCTGGTGTTGTCTATGGCAGCACCTAGGTATGTCCTCTCCAGCATGGATGTTTCAGAGTCATTCTTCATGGCATTGGCCTTTGTCTTGATTTTGGCAATGAGAGATAGCAAATATGATGCACACAGGGACTTGAAATGTTCCTTTGCACTGGTACTTGGCTTCTGTTGATAATGAAAACTCTTCATTCATCACATGAACAAGACTGGGCTAGAAGAATGAGAGAGGCCCTTAGTCTTCTCAGACATTACAGTTCCTAATCTCCACAGACACTGAGGTACCTTAGACCCTCCAGCTTCAGCTTACCTGGACCAGAACTGAAAAACTGCCAGAACAATATACAGAATCATGAAGAAATAATAAATTTGTATGCTTTAACTTGCTTAAAGTTAGAATATCTTGTTTTGCAGGATAAGTTAACTGATACAGAAATTGGAAGTTGGGTACTACATAACCAAAAATTCTAAAACATAATGGCATATGATTTGACATGGTGGCTGGAACAGGATGAAAAAACAATTTGGGAACTCTAAGAAGACTGAAAAATGATGAGAACTTTGTTAGTAAACGTGAAAAAGTAGTGAGGAAACATCTAAACAGGCTTAAAATATGATGTCTCATATGAAATAGCAAAACAATTCGAAAATTGTACCCTATTGGTAACATGGAAGATGGAAAAAATCTAATGGACATGTAGATATTGTTAAGGCTATTTCTCGGCAAAATATTGAAACATTGTATGGGAAGAAAGACATGAGTGAAAGAAAACAGTCTGCAAGCAGAATTTAGAGGAAATATAGAAGATCCAGAGTTTGTCTACATGGAGATTAAAAACTTTTTCATCTCCATTCTTTCAAAAGCAAATATCCTTAAAGTAAGAAATTATGAGATAAAATTAAATCAAGGGAGTGGCTATAAGTTCTTTAAAAATATTTTTGAAAGATTTAGTGGGGGTTAACTTGCAGACCTTCTAAACTAGGCAAAAGAGCTTCCAGGAATTTTAAAGACTGTTCCATAGTAACCTGATACATGTACCAAACAAGAGAAAGGCATATCTTGAAAATAACTTATCTACATGGTACTTAAAAAACATATAGGCATAAGATTTTGGAAGAAAGAAAAATGAATGGTAGAGAAGACAGTTAATCGACAAATGATAGAGCTATAAAAATTCCAATTTTAAAGGGGAAATGAGTAAAATAGAAGGCAGATGATGAGTACATATTAGGATAATTCTGGAGCATGTTATGGTAAGGCTATGTTCCAGTTACCTTTTGCTAGATTGCAAATTACATTAAAGCTTAGATGTTTAAAACGAGCATCTTATTTTGTTCATCATTTTGTGGGACAAGGATTTAGTGAGATTGACTGGAAGTTCTCATAGTCTCTTACACAATTTAAAGTCAGATGTTAGCTATGGTGAAAATTCAACAGGTTAGGGCATCCAAGATGGCTCTCACACTTGCCTGACTGTTTATATTGGCTGTCAGCTGAGAGTTCAGCTGGTGCTATTTACGGAAGCACCGAGGTATGGCCTCTCCAGTATGGACATTTCAGAGCCATCAGACTTGTTACCTGGAGACTGCATTTCTAAGAAGAGTGCTTCAAGAGAAATAGAGAAAAGATGAATGGCTTTTTCTGGTCTGTACTCAATATAAATTTCTTCAGCCATCAGAGTGTGAGTTCTTGTGGTATGGGTTGCTAATCATGATGAGGTGAAAATAAATTATTCCAGGTCAGGAGTGCTATTCTTTATAAACCCCATAGAAGCAATTGACCATACATTTTTGGGTCTATTCCTGGACTCTCAATTCTGCTCTGCTGGTCATTAATCTAATCTTTATGTAAATATCACAGTCTTAATTAGTGTAGTTTTATTGAAACTAATTTTTCTTGGAATTAGAAAGCATAAGTCATTTAAATTTGTTGTTCAATTTCAAAGTTGTTTTGGTATTCTTAGTCCTTGCATTTCCATATCAATATTTGAATCAGCTTGTCAATTTCTACAAAAAAAAAAAACTGCTGAAACTTATTTTCTTTATTTGACTACATTAAAACTTTATTCAACAAAATACCATAAAGTAAAAAGAAAAGTCACTAGATAGACTAGAAGATATTTGCAACATATAAAACTGACAAATGATTGATGTCTAGAATAAAAGAACTCCTAAAAATTACTCAGAGAAAAAGAAATAATTCAATACAAAGTTGGGCACAGGATATGAACAGGTTCTTCACAATAAAATGTACATTAGAATGAAGGATTTAATGAGTAATTGTGGAAAATGCAAACTAAACTCATAATAAAACACCATTCTACACTCACGTAATTCACAAAAACTCACATTTACTTTGAAGATAAATTTGGCAATGTCTATAAGGCTAAATGTGTTTATTCTGTGATACACATCTTAAGTAACTAATGTAGTGAGCCCAATGCAGAAGAATGTTCCACTACAGTGTTGTAATACAGAAACTGGCAACAACTTCATGCCTTCAACTGGAGAACAGATGAATTAAGATAGTTCGCGTAATTGAATACTGCTACACAGTACTAAAATTAATGAATGAAAGCTTCACATATAATTATACAATAATGAGTGAAAAAAAGAAAAGCTGTAGAATGAGCAAGTATAAGGCTTAAAAATATATAAAACAGTACTAAAGAGTAGATGGTTTAGGTTATACACAGTGAAAGTACAACAACACAGGAATGACAAACATCAAATTTTGGATAATTGTTACCTCTGGAGGGGAGGAATGGCAATGTGATGTGGAAGTGGCAAAATGTTAAGATTTGACAAAAGTAGGTGCTGAGAACTTGGATATTCAGTATGTAATTCACTATACTAGAAATAGTACAGCCACAACCAACACACACATACACCTATTTAAGTCCAGAATGCTGTTTCAATAATACATTTTAGTGTCCCCTGAGGGGCAGATGCCATACTAGGAATTTGGGGTACAGGCACGAACAAGGCACAGTACCTCCCTTCAAGATAATATCACAGAAGCAGACTTGGCTCCTGATTAACTTTGTCACTGATGGCTAGGATCTGTTCTTCAATCAACGGGACTGAGACCCTTAAAACTTCAACGAATGTTTCTGAGGTTTCAGACACCCACCACTGCCCTGCTTCCTTTACATTTCCCTTACAGAATGAAGATAATGGGCAGACAAACCATGACAATGATTACAGCATAAAACAAAGACAATTTCTACACAAATGTAGAAATTACTTTTATTATGTTAAAATATTCCTTAATAAGCTAGCAATTATTTATGTGGAGGAGCGTCCAGAAAACAGGTCCATGACTGAATTATCCTTGTCGTTGATTATAGAGATTCATGAATTACACTCATAACACTATTCTCTGGGGTAGCTGCGAAGCTCTACGAGGCTGTGAGTTTGGAGGCGCTTCTCCCTGCCTGTTAAGCTGCTCCCATCACATCACGACAGGTTGGACATTATTTTTCTCTTTTGAATTAAATCTTTACAACAGTTCGAATGCTCTTTCCAGAATGCATCAGTTGAAAGGCTTTGTTAATTTCACCAAAAGACAGATTGTGAGTCACAAATTCATCAACTTTTATTTTTTTGGACATATATTCAGACACCAACTTTGGGACACTTTCTACACTCTTCCATCCTCCAAAGGCAGTTCCTTTCCATGTGCGACCTGTTACCAGCTGGAATGGACGAGTGGCAATTTCTTCACCTGAAGCAGCTACTCCAACCACCACGCTGACTCCCCAGCCCTTGTGATAAGCCTCAAGTGCTGCTCTCATGACCTTCACATTACCAATACATTCAAAGGAATAGTCCACTCCTCCATCAGTCGTCTCAATGAGCCCTTCCTGGATGGGTTTACTAAAACCCTGAGGGTTAATACATTCAGTGGCTCCAAACTCTTTGGCCCTTGCAAATTTATCTTTATTGATGTCCACACCAATGATCCGGGATGCACCAGCCACTTTACAGCCCTTGATAACTGCCAATCCAACTCCTCCCAGACCAAAGACGGCACAAACAGAGCCAGGTTCCACCTTGGCAGTGTTCACAGCAGCACCATCACCAGCTGAAATGCCACAACCTAGAAGGCAGAGTTTATCCAAAGGTGCTAAAGGATCTATTTTAGCAACAGAGATATCAGCTACAACTGTGTATTCAGAAAATGTGCTGGTTCCCATGTAACGCAAAATTGTCTTTCCTTTGCAAGTAAATCTGCTGGTACCATCTGGCATTAATCCTTTCCCTTGAGTGACTCTTATCTTCTGGCAAAGGTTAGTTTTAGGATATAGACAAAATTTGCATTCTCCACACTGTGGGATGTAAAGTGGGATGACAGTGTCACCCGCCTTCAGCTTAGTAACTCCCTCGCCAACACTTTCCTCAATTCCGGCACCTTCATGTCCCAAGATCACTGGAAAACAACCCTCAGGATCAGCTCCCCTCAGGGTATAGGCGTCGGTGTGGCAAACCGCAGTGGCAATGATCTTGATTCGAACTTCATGAGCCTTTGGGGGTGCCACCTCTATCTCCTCTATGGAGAGAGGCTTTCCAGCCTCCCAAGCAACTGCAGCCTTGCACTTCATAACCTGGTTCGCAATGTCTACCGATTCTGAAACTTATTTTCAGATTGTGTTGAATACAGAGACCAATTTTCAGAGAACTGAATTCTTAACATTATTGAATCTCCCAAACAATAAACACAGTATCTATCCCCATATATTTAGATCATTTAACATTTGTTTCAGCAATATTCCAGTGTTTCAGTACACAGAGAATGCACATCTTTCCTCAGATTTGTCCCTAATTATTTGAATGCTTTATAATACCGTACATTTAAAATTTTCAATTTGATTCTTAATTTCTAACGTATAGAAATACAATTGAATTTTTATATTGACCCAATTGACTGCAACTTTGCAAAACGCAAACAATCGTTTTAATAACTTTTTTGTAGATTCCATAGGACTTTCTACATATATAGATGATCATCAGTGTACCTCCTACAAATGTGGGAGGCACAGAAAAGTAGGACAATATTAATAAATTCATATATTTTAAAATCTCGATTTGTTTCGGCTCCTCACTTTGTCTGGACCTTGCTCAGAAGATCACAGATTGCCCGGTGAATTTTACGATCTATAAACTATACCATTAGTATAGTGCCTCATGGTTTCTCTGTCTCTCTCTCTCCCCTACTGAGACAGCCAGGTGGGAAGAGGTTCCCAGAGAAACTCCAACCAGCCTGCGCACTGAGAAGAGTTCACATTGGGGTGGAGCCACAGAACTTTACATCCTTTGCAGTGGGGAGGATCCTGGCCCCTCCTTTTCTTGGGTGGAACTTGGAATTCAATCTGTGAGGCTGGAAACCCACTGGCAGAGAAACACATACTCTCGCTTTACTAACAGTCTCTGTTTCCTCTTTTCTTCCTTTTCACCCAATAAAACCCTGCTTTACTCACCCTTCAAATTGTCTGCAAGCCTAATTTCTCGTGGCCGTGTGACAAGGACCCTGTCTTTAGCTGAACTACAGAAAAGTCCTGGAATGCTACCACCTGTTTTTCTCAGAGAAGAAAAATCACAGTCATGGTGACTTGCTTTCCTTTTATTCAGATAATTTCAACATAGGCCATTTTTTGGTTCCAACTATTTCTCTTTAGTAGCATTTTTTCAAAGTGTGATGCAAGGATTCCAGTGAGTCCTCAAAACCTATTCTGTGGGTCTGTGAGATCAGATATCTTCGTAATACTAAGATGTTCTCTTTTTTTTGTTTCTATCTGTCACAGATCTATAGTGCAGTGGACACTTTTTAAAGTGGACGCTTAAAGTGATTTTACACCAGATTGAATGCTTTCTCAGATATGAAGATCCAGCAGTCTTCTATTAAGTTGTATATTAAAGTAATTTGAGAATATGTAAAACAAGGGCAGTTCTCCCTATAACATTTTTTGTTGTTGTTTGGAAAATATTATTTTTTACCAAGATCATGTTACTTTTGTTAATAGATAGATTATTGTTATTTTAAAATGAATTCATTTATAATTATTTTTAAACATTTTGATTTAATTTATTTTATGGTAAATATCCATAGATATAACCAGTGGTGTGCTGGAACTAGCTTTCCTGGGCTTGTGAGATCTAATTGTGCACATGTCTTTCCAATTGTTTGTTCAGTGATATCACATTGGTAGTCTGACATTGAAAATGGTAGAAGTATTGACATCACAACAATCAGTAAATACAGCAAATAAGGTTTGTTCACCCATTTCTTCCCCGAGAGCCTGTTGTTAAATATTTATCACATTACTGGATAAAACCCTCCTGATCAAAATGTCTTTCGATTCCTTGGAACAAAAAAGTTTGAGAACAATGGCTCCATAGCCATCAGTGCAATGCCAGCTAATATCGGTTTGAAAAATATTAACTTTTATTTATAGAATATCTTTTTTACCAATTTTCAAACCTCTTTAGCAAATGTGTAGAAACATATGGGTCACATGCGAACATTGTTCCAAGCTTTGCTTTAAATCTATGCATGTCTAATTGATCTGATACTGGGGAAATTCAACCATTAACACTATGGCTCTTCCAATAAAAGTTTTAGATGCTCATTTATTGATAGAACAAAAATCAAACAAACAAAAAGAATAAATCCACTACACTTCCCTAAAAAGAAAAACAAAGGAAAGGACAAACCTGTTTTGTTGAATCTTTGCAGAGAATACAGAGATGTATTTTCTTTGTTCTAATACAATGGTACAAAACCAATCCATGCATTATTTTAGAGTGGCTGAGTCCTTTATTTAAAATAATTATTCGCTATAAAATAAAAACTATGAACTTTAATTTTAGTTCAATCACCTACTAGATATTTGAACTAATTGACTCTTAGTGGCTAAATGACCTTGGCCAAGTTATCTGTACCAGTTGTAAAACTGCGATAATTGTACCAGTACTGTCCAAATCACAAGACTATTTTAAGTATCAAATGAAAAAATTAGTGTTAAAATACTTTGTATATAAGACAGTGTTCTGTAAATACATTACAAAATAAAACATTAATATATGCATAATGTTATAAAAACATAATGGAAAATATAAATCATATAAATACATATTTAAGTAAGTAGGAGGCAATACTACCCAAATATGTTTATTGATATATTAAAATTTTTGTTTTATTAATATAAAATTTACCTAGGATATTCAATATGTAAATTCCCTTTTTTCTGTAAAAATTAAGAATAAATATTATGTTTTCTGTTTTCATTAAAATACAAAAAATAAGGGATTACTTACCAATACATATCTATAGGTATTAATACAAAAATAAATGTATGAACTTGTATCTATTGCTACACTTTTATTAGTAGTACAGAATGTCTTTTTTACTACAATAGTAGTCAAAGAGCTAAGATTAAATTGTAATCAAATTCTACTTATTGTGCATGCTAATAATCTTAAATATTTCATTTTTAAATGAACATTTAAGCATAAAGTTTCAAATATTGAGACTAATACAACTTGAAACTAATACAATGTTATTATCAGAAACTAGCACAGTGCTAGGAATTCATAGATTTATTAAATACTGAATTCCAAGTTGTTGAACTTGGGAATGAATCTGGATATACTACTTTATTATTATTTTTAAATGGGATTTTGAAGTATGGGTACTTTATATTCTGAGACAGCCAAATAAACATGCATTTTAAATTGGTAAGCTAAGGTTTACAACACTTACAATAAAACTCATTTTTCATGGGATGACAGTGGAGGAAATTGAAATCTGCTGCTCATTTTATAGCTGAACAAACTTCTAAGGGGTACATGTATTTGTATATTTTATGTGATTCCCTTTGTAAATAACTTGTTTAAGACTTTTGAGATTTAGCAATATGTAACAATGAATATGCATCTTATGAAGTGATATATTTTGTTGTGATTCACTTAAATATTGTTTAACTTTAACTCTGTTTTTTATCTCCATTTCTATTACAGTTCTTTCAGTTGATTTTTTAGCTGCTGCTAAAATCCTACACAAAACATTAAATGTCACCAAAGTTACAGTTTCAAATATTTATTATTGGTGTCAAACACATAAGACACTGATGCCCACTAAAAAATATTTGTAAATATCAATAGTCTTAATTGTTTAAGAACTATATCACATTTTGACAAAATATACATTACTAATTTTGGGGGTCTAGTCTTTTATTGACAATCTTTCATTTTCTTATAGAAATTTATTTTAATTGGAAATACATTGAAATGTAGGCAATATGGAATATCCATTTACGTAGGTCAAATTATTCTTTATAATAATTTCAACCTTATATAATTGCAAATATATTATGCACACACAATTACGTACATAAATACGTACATTAAACTTATAGTGAGATTATAAAAACAACCAACATCTAATTACTCAATTTCACTACAAATTTTCAAAAACATCTGGTTTCATAAATCTAGCTCTTAATGTAAGGTGTTTAGCATTACTATGTGTTTTTGGTGGTATTTAAACAGAATTTTTTTATAAGAAAATCAGTGATGAGAATAAATACAAATGAACTGCAACAATGCCTTTGTCATAAACGGTTCCCACTTTGTGTGATGTAGTCAAATTTTGCCTTAATTTTATTTTGATTTGCACCTTCAAAAGTAAATCTAGTAACAGTCAAAGAAATTTACTTAAATCAGACTGCAGTAGCACTTGTTTCCCAGAATACTTGTTATTTTTATTACAATTATAGTCATTATTTATCCTACATTGCTTGCAGTGTCTTTCCTACCACATTATTGCTGCTAGTAACTCTTACACTTCAGCTTGCTAATTAGTCTACTCAATCCATTCATCTCTTCTTCACCCTCTTGTCCAGTTGCTATTTTGTGGAGTGCACATTAATGATCTGTATCCATTATAGATTATACATCATAGAACTACTCTTTGTCCTTGTTAATTTAAGGTGCTGAGTTGGAGGACATAAGCAAATCTAATTAAAATTATTGATCATAGGTTTACCTGAGTTTTCTAACTTCAAATAACACAAAATTTTGGTAATTTCACATTTGAATTCTTATTGCAATATTTTAAGTGTACAATGAAAAGTGCAGTCTTAAATTTTTTAATGTAGTTTCGGATCAACTCCTCCAATTTCTAAGTATTTGATTGTGGACAAATTAACTTCCAGAAATTACAGTCCCCTTGTCTAAGAATGACTCAATAATGCCACTTCATTTACTATATTTAAGAGAAATACTTTGTTAAAGTTTTTACCATCCAGGTTAGCAAATATCAAATTCAAAATATGCTACTTTTATGATAAATATAGTTTAAAAGCACAGATTTTTTTAGTCCACATAGTAAAATGTAATGCCTTTTGCCATTATTAAGTGATTTTAAAATTTATTTGATGAAACATCTAAAAATATTTCAGAGCCTTTCTTTTCTAAATTAGAAAACAAACAAAAATAATCAAGTTAAAAATATTCCTAATCTCTAAACATTTATCAATTTATTAATTTCAAAAATATATCTGGGGTTCCTCCAACATATTAGATATTGCACTTAACACTGTGGAAAAATAAGAAATAATTGTTAACTCTGGTAAATCTACTGAGAAATTTATGATATAGTAAGGTAACACATTTCTTTTAGAAAAACTATTGTTTTCCATATTTATCAGATATCACTAGGACAGGAATAATAGTCACTGGAATAGTAATAATGGTTACCTGAAAGATGCTCACTTTTATTTTTAATACCATTTCACATAAAAAATAATGTACACAAATAACTGGAAGACATCACTGTGACTGAGTTTAAATCTGAACAAACCTGGCCTTTAACTATTTCTTACATGTCATCACATAAAATATATTATTTTTGCTATTCTACATTAACTAATAAATTCTGAAACAATATCCCATAAAGAAATGTATATCTACTTTTTCTTTATAAATATCTTGATTAATTTGCAATAACTGTGAACATAGAATTAATTATACTTTTTATTACAAATGTGCATCTTCTCTTGTATTGGAGATGAAGACTGCCTTCTAAGTTAACATTTGGATTTGAAGAAATCTATCATAAAAATTAACTGTAATTTGGTCTAACATATGTTGGTCTCTAAGTATGTTTCAGAACAAAAATTACATGAAATACTAGAATTTCCTTAATGGAAATTCCAGTTAACAGTGTTCCAAATTGATAACTGAAATCAAAATTACAATATCATTGTGTTTCTTAATGCTTTTGATTGAGGAAAAAATGTGCATTGAATGTGGATGTAGATTATACTTCATCTTAAGTGGTAACTTGAATGAATTCAAGGCAGCCACTAAAAGCCTATATTAGAGATATGTCTGAAGAAGAATTCAGTCAGCCACATTAGAAACTACTCTGGGCAATCAGTGATGTTGCCCTCAGGGATTTCCCTGATGAAGCATAGATAACTATGCTTCATTTGTCCCTGGCACACTTTCTTCTGGTATCATTATTTTGCTACTACAAGAGATTACTAACAGAAAAATAATGATATACTCTATTTTATGTTTTATGCTTTTCTATATTAAACTACATGAAACATGTCTACGGATACGACCCCTTCTCCTCTAGGTGACACCTTTCTATCTAGTTCCCACTGAAATATCCAAAATAAATCTCTTTTGGCAGTGTCTTGATTCATTTAGTTGCTCTGATTGTGCTCATGTCATGTTTCTGTTGTTATTTTTCAGTACATACTTCGAAATTTTTATGTATTATTTAAAAAAAAAACCTCAGAAAGATAGATACAAAACCAGACAGCAGAGTATAATTAAAGCCCATGTACCTGTTGGCTAGTTTTAGCAATTATTAACTCATAAACAGTCTGATATGTTTATACTCTATCCCATTCTTTACTCCAAATTATTCTGGAGCAAATCCTAATTCCATGTGAAAAAAAAATAGTATCTACCTCTGAATGACAAAAACACTAACATTTTGAAATACAACCCTAATACCGTTATAACTTGTAAAAATTAAAAATATCATAGTATTAAATATCCAAATGAATGTTCAAATTAATAAATATCTTACAAATGTTGCATTTATAAGAGTTTTTAAAGGAAATCATAACCCAAATAAAGTTCATATTACAGTTGGTTGAACAGTATTATTAAAGCATTTTAAATTTATACATTTTTCCTCCATCTCTTACTTTTTGACTTTTTATAATTTATTTATTGTAGAAACCAAGTTACCCTTTCTATGGAGTTCACCAAAGTCTAAATTTTGGAAATTGTATCCCATGGTCAAGTTCACTTGTTTTTCTTTCCCCTGCATTTCCTGGAAATTAGCACTTATGTAGGGAGAATTAATCAAATTCAGATTCTATTCAGTAGGAAAGGGTAGAAAAATTACCTCCTAGGTATTGATTTTTCCACCAAAAGGCACATAATCATTCTGATATCTTTGTTGTGATGTTAGCATTTCTTGAAATACAATGCCTGAATCCATTAATTCATTAGAAGTTACAAAATGATGGAATTAAAATTCTATTATTCCTTCTTAATTGTTTGGCTAGGATTATTCTATACAGAAGAACTTTCTTTCATCAAATACTTGCATACCCAGTGACACAGTTTATATAAGAAAGGCAGGATGCACTAATAAAAATTTAATATATTTCAATACATTGCAGTATGATTCCTATTAATAGTCCTCCCTGGAAGGGTTCTGTGGATGCAGATACTGAAATGGGATTTGAAATGCAAAATATTGTTTAGCAATCAATAACTCTGAAGGAAAGTCAGAGAGCAGAATTGGGTGGCGGAAGAAGTAATCTCCACTGCAGATCCATCAAACCTCGCTCAACCCAGTGGGAAGCTTTGAAGCAAATATTATCTGTCAGAGTAGTCCCACATCATGACAAAATGGTTGGGTTTCTATACCCTCATCTCATCCAGGCATATCATGCAGGTTGCTCTGAGAAAGTCTATGTGACAATGGAGAAGGCATCTCTCTCCTGCTGGGAAGATTCAGGAGGAGCTGGCCAGTGGAAACTGCTAATTATGATCCTTGAAAAAGGACAGCAGTTCCTTTTTTGAAGGGTATGGGCAATTCTAATGCATTTTAACTGTTGAGCTACTATCTTTAAAGTTCAACTCTGTGGATTTTTTTTTTTTAATTGTCATGTGTCTATTACAGTTCCTTAAAACAAAGTTATCCCTGAAAAAGTCGGATAAGAAAAAGTAATACTAGCATGTTCTAAAGCGTTAGGAACAGGAGCAACTCTTGGTATGTACATTCTATTGTTCTATAATTCACTAGCTTCTCTGTTTACGTCTCTATGCTATTATGCTAATATGTCCTAACCCCTTGTTTAATTTCACGGATGTTATATCCTTCCTATTCTTTCTAGTAGAGGTCTTCTTATCTGAGAGTTTAGAAGTGAGGCACGCACATGTCAAAGTACTTTGTTATACATATTACCCAACAGTCTCACATCTTACCGCAGTTAAAATTTGTATTAAAAAAAAGAGCCTGGTTTATCCCTTTATGAATTGTTATATTCCTATAAATGTCAACCATGGCATTTTTACATTTTTTTATGGTAGCTTTTTTCATTACTCACAAATACGTACACACACATACACACACACACACACACACACACACATGCTTCTACTGTTTCCTCTTAACATTTCAAATGCTGTAAAAGTACATTTCCTGGAATCCTTTGATGCTGAGGTTCTGGATATTGGTTAAGTTCTGACAATTTGTTCTACTTTTAGGAGATTAGTGGGCCAAAAGTGGAACTGCTTTGTGTTTTTCCCCCTTGCTGGCAACCACAGTCTTTCTTTTCTTTAAGGAATGTTTCTAGTGTCCTGGTATCACCTCTATGGAGAGCAGGATGCAATTGTTAAGGGTTTTAGCAGCTTCCTGAATTCTGTATTGTTGGGTAGCCTTATATTTTCCCACCTTCCTGATTGTAGAGTGATGGGCAGCCAAATGGAAGGCCCATCCTAGAGTTTACTCCATCAGGCCTCCAATTATGGTTTGCCTATTAGATATACATCTCTCTCTCTCTTTTTCTTTTCTTTCTTTCTTTTTTTTTTGCTTTAAAAGAACTAGAATGTTTGTAGCTTCTGCAACTAAATTCTTACCTATGCTCAAACTGTTGTAAAATAGACAAAAATAGTTTCCTCTAAAAGAATATCAGATAGTGCATTATAGAAGACACCTATTATATTATATAGAAGCCAATGCACTTTAAATTGGATAATTTGACAAAGTATAGACAAATACTATCTACCAAGGATTTTAAAATACTTCTTTTGCATTCTGGCCTTGAGCATCACACTGTACTTAAATGTATTCTTTTACTTTATTTTTTTACATTTTTGGTTAGTGATAGTTCAATTTTTAAAAATTGATCTCAGAAAATTTTTGTATGAAACCCCAAATTCTCAGAGGTTCAGCGGTCCCTAATAATTAAGTTTGCACCATCACGATTTTCCAAAAAGTTTCAAAAGCATTAGAACATACATTCAAATTAATATATTGAATTAGCAAGACATATGTAAATATTTTAGATTTGAAAACACAAAAAATGTATATAGTGTATTATAGAAAACTTGATGTGCCACTCATAATATTTACTGTATGCCACCTCAACAGTATCATTCAGATACCCAGTCCCATTAACTTATCATACAAATGAATAATTGGAGAAGGAAAGGAATGGAATATAGATTGGTGTTGAAGTTAAAAAAAAATAAATAAATAAATAGAAATACATACGATAAACAAAACAGAATGATAGTAATATGTACGGCGTCCCAAGAAAGATTTTTAACTCAGTTTTGAGCATCTGAGGACTAGGAAAAAAATGAAACAAGCAATCACATTTTTGATACAATGCAAGGAACTTTTGGAATTTCAGTCATTAAAAGAAGTCATTTCACAAAAGATATTCACAATTTAGTCTAGAAGAGAGACACTAAAATCTGTTAGAAACACAGGACAGATTTAAATGGTGTCTTAGTCCATTTGCATTGCTATAAAATAATACTTGAGGCTGGGTAATTTATAAAGAAAAGAAGTTTATCTCATGGTTCCGCAGGCTGTACCAGAAGCATGGTGCCGGCATCTGCTTCCAGTGAGAGCCTCAGACTGTTTCTACTCATGATGGAAAGTGCAGGAGGGCCAACGCATGGTAAGAGAGGAAGGAAGAAAGAGAGAGGAAAGGGATAAACCAGGATCTTTTTTTTAAATACAAATTTTAATTTAAATAGATTTACGGGTACAGATGTTTTTGGTTACCTAGATAAATTATATCGTGTGAAGTCTGGGCTTTTAGTGTACCTATCATTTTAATAGTGTACATTATACACAATGGATAATTTTTCATCCCTTACCACTCTCATACCCTCTTCTGAGTCTTCAATGTCCATTACACCAATCCGTGTGCCCCTGTGTTACAGGAAAAGGGTCTGGATCCAGAACCCAACAGCGGGTTCTTGGTTCTCTTGCAAGAAAGAATTCAGGGCGAGTCCACAGTGCAAAGTGAACGCAAGTTTATTAAAAAAGTCAAGGAATTAAAAAAAAAATGGCTTCTCCATAGCCTCCCTTGGGGCTGCTGGTTGCCGATGTTTATGGTTATTTCTTCATGATATGCTAAATAAGGGGTGGATTATCCATGCCCCCTCTTTTTAGACCATAAAGGATAACTTCCTGATGTTGCCATGGCATTTGTAAACTGTCATGGCGCTGGTGGGAGTGTAGCAATGAGGACCACCAGAGGTCACTCTCATTTCCATTTTCGTTTTGGTGGGTTTTGGCCAGCTCCTTTACTGCAACCTGTTTTATCAGCAAGGACTTTATGACCTGTATTTTGTGCTGACCTCTTATCTCATCCTGTGACTTAGAATGCCTTAACCATCTGACAATGTGGCTCAGTAGATTTCAGCCTCATTTTACCCAGCTCCTATTTAAGATGGAGTTGCTCTGGTTCACACACCTCTGACACCTGTGTACCCATACCGTAGCTGCCACTTATAAGTGAGAATGTGTGGTATTTGGTTTTCCATTCCTATGTGACTTAACTTAGGAAAATGGCCTCCACTTCCATCCAAGTTGCTGCAAAATACACTATTTCCTTCTTTTTTATGGCTCAGTAGTGTACAAGTGCAGATGTCCTTTTGATATAATGAGTTTTTTCCTTTGGGTAGATACCCAGTGGTGAGATTGCTGGATCAAAGGGTAAATGTAATTTAATTCTTTGAGAAATCTCCATACTGTTTTCCAAAGAGATTGTGCTAATTTACATTCCCACCAATGTTGTATAAGCATTCCATTTTTACTGCACTATGCCAACACCTATTAATTTTTTTTTTTTTTACTTATTAATAATGGCCATTCTGACTGGGATAATATGGTGGTATCTCATTGCAGTTTTAATTTGCAGGATGTTTTGAACAATCAGATCTCTGGCGAGCTAATAGAGTCAGAGCTCCCTCATTACCATGAGAGAGAATGGCACTAAGCCATTCATGAAGGATGCAGTCCCATAACCCAAACCCCTCTCATTAGTCCCCATCTCAGATACCAGGGACCAAATTTCAGCATGATATCTGGAGGGGACAAATATGCAAACTATATCTAATTGGATATATAAAATATGTATGCAAATACTTCGAAGATAATAAGGGGGAATTAATCTAAATGTCAAAAGTAAAATCGCCTTTATCATTAAGATTTGCAGTTAGTTCAAAGTACATGGCTCCTGTCCTGTCTTCTGCTTTGCCTTTTTGTGAGCATTTATCCATTTATTTTTATCTCTTATCAGACTATCAGTATTTTGTGTAGCAGTAAGATGCCTTTCTAATTTCCCCTTACAAACTTGGGGGGTGTCACGTGCGTCCCTGTGAAGAGACCACCAAACAGGCTTTGTGTGAGCAACAAGGCTGTTTATTTCACCTGGGTGCAGGCGGGCTGAGTCCGAAAAGAGAGTCAGCAAAGGGTGGTGGGATTATCATTAGTTCTTATAGGTTTTGGGATAGGCGGTGGAGTCAGGACCAATGTTTTGTGGGCAGGGGGTAGATCTCACAAAGTACATTCTCAAGGGTGGGGAGAATTACAAAGAACATTCTTAAGGGTGGGGGAGATTACAAAGAACCTTCTTAAGGGTGGGGGAGATTACAAAGTACATTGATCAGTTACGGTGGGGCAGAAACAAATCACAATGGTGGAATGTCATCAGTTACGGCTATTTTCACTTCTTTTGTGGATCTTCAGTTGCTTCCGGCCATCTGGATGTATACCTGCAGGTCACAGGGGATATGATGGTTTAGCTTGGGCTCAGAGGCCTGATGGGGTGGAATAACAATATAACATCTTTTAAAAAATAATTTTTAATTTTTATATTTTAAAATTGACAAAACTGTGTATATTTACCATACACAGCATGATGTTTTGAAGTATGTATAAATTGTGGAATGATTAAATCTAGCTAATCCACATATACATTACCTGACAGATTTATCATTTTTGTGGTGAGAACACTTATATCCACTCTCTTAACATTTTTCAAGAGTCTTAAAAGACCCTACTTACCATTACCATTTTTTAAATTTAATTTGAATATAGAAACCTGTAAAACAAAATGTTTTTCTTGCCAAACCATGTATATTGAATTACTTTTATATCCTATGATTTAAAACATTTGAAGGCAAAAAAAAAAAAAAACACTTCCATGTATCAGCTAATATTTTTAAAGGCTATAGTACCTCATATACAATATTAATCACGTAAAAAAGCTAAGATGCATAAAATAAGAAAACATTAGTGTTTAATATATGTGTATTTGTTTACTTCCTAGCTTGTTTTGTTTTGAGACGGAGTCTCACTCTGTCACCCAGACCGGAGTGCAGTGGCGCAATCTCAGCTCACTGGAACCTCCGCCTTCCGGGTTCACGCCATTCTCCTGCCTCAGCCTCCGGAGTAGCTGGGACTACAGGCGCCCGCCACCAAGCCCGGCTAATTTTTTGTATTTTTCAGTAGAGACGGGGTTTCACCATGCTAGCCAGTATGGTCTCAATCTCCTGACCTTGTGATCTGCCCACCTCGGCCTCCCAAAGTGCTGGGATTACAGGCCTGAGCCGCTGCGCCTAGCCTACTCTCTAGTTTCAACTATACAAACCCCAAGAGATTTCTGACAAAAGAATGTCTTAAGTCTATTTCTTTCTAAGTGAGAATGGAGGGGAATGCATGCCTGTTTACAAATCTACAGCCATTTTATTGCACACTGCATGTAATGCATTGTGTAGGTTCTTGTTTAAAATTATTCTTCTGACTTCACTAAATAATAATTGTTTGAAATTACATTAGAAAATATTCAACTTCCCTTGCAATTCTTAGCAGTATTTAGTACATAATTCTATTTTCCTAAATCTAGTTACTCTGAGCTAAGAAAGTATAGGAAGCTCTGGTTGTTATAGCCAGTGGGCAGGGAGTGACATTTGCTAAAGCAACACATAACAAACTGAATTCAGTGACTTCTAAAGAGATGGGTGCTTCTCTCTCTCACAAAGTGGCAGAGAGATGTGTAAAACCCCTTCTCCATAGCACAGAAGCACAGACCAAAGACTGGAAGATGAAATCCATTGATTAACACAGGTAAAATGCAGAAGAATGGAAGTCATTCTGGATAGAATGGGCTTATATCAGGAATACCTACAAAAACAGTAAAAGAATGAATATATTCCAGATTTGAATGTACCTTTATGTTAGTATATTGAGAAGATTTGCACAGACTAAACATTTTCTTCAATAGGTATGAAACTGCAGATTTAAAAGTCAATCCAACTAACCCATTCTGCATAAAACATGGAGCATATAAAGGGAAGAATTATGTCCAGAATCACTATATTTTCTATTTAAATAACTTTAGGCAAGGGTATCTGTAATTACTAAAATCTGGAAGAAAATAGCTGAAGTAAATGTACAGTATTTACAATTTTATACATACACAAAACTGTGCCTTTACATCCCTGAAGGCATAATTAACAACCAGAAACACAAAACTCACCATTGCTTTTCTTCTCTACTACAGCGAAGGACACCATCTTTTTCATAGACAAAGAGTAATTCACTTTCCAACTCACCAATCTACATATATTACACCTTTAGACAAAATATGTAATTTTAAAAATCCCTGTTGGCATAGGTTTATAAACTATGGTCAATTTAAACCAATTAAAGGCTTTAAGTGGTCCTATTTTCCAAATATAACGTATAAAACTGAATCAGAAACAAAGGGTCATTTTAACAATGTGTAAAAATTGAAATATAAATTTTAAAAAATCTTAATTACCAAAAAAGCAAATAATCACATGTATTTAGAGATGTCTCCTACCCTATTTGGATTTCTGTTATTTATTTTTATTCACTGTTGTCACTGCCATCAATTTTGTCATTGCCATCATCATTATCACTATCACCATCTAATATTTTACTGTACTCTTCTTGTGAAATCAGCACTGAGACAGGCACTTTGTTAAACATTGAGTCATGAAATCTTCCCAACCACCTGCAAGTTATTATTTCCAAGGTAAAAAAAAGAAAAATAACACATGTAAAATGTAGATAGTTTGCGAATGCAATAAAACACCTTGGATTTAAATTGAGGTTTTTAAAATTCATATCAAATTGCTTTCTACTGCACCATGCTGATCTCTAAGACTACTTAGAGTTCTAAAGATATGTAACATGTTGAAATTAAATTTGGTGTGTTTGTCTTCATCAAATTTTAATTGCGCCTATGCCATCGGCATTCTCTTTTTCTCATTTTTGACTTTTTGTTATTCCATGCTATCTTGTACTTTAATATTGCCTTCCATCTTCTCTGACTTAATGATTGATAGAAAAGCCTTAAAAAGGTGTAGTTTTTAATATTTTGCCATCTCTCTAAATGATGTAAAGTCTTCAGCAAATGATTTAAACTTTTAAGCTTTAGTTTACTCATAATTAAAATACTGTCTATTCTGTGCTCCTCAGAGTGACCACAATTCCCTCGCTTTTCATTGGAGTGACAGTGTTGATAGGGAAAACCTGAAGGAATTATGAGGATATTTCTGTTTTCAATCATAGCACCATACCTTCTTATGAAATGTACTTTTTTCCTCAAGCTGTCAACACCCCATGTCAGCCTCCTTCCTGATGTGTTAGCATGAAAAGATAATGGAAATATAGAAGCCATGTTTATCAATCATTGACTAGATGCCTTATGGGAGATGCAGCTGTGATTGCCCTTTGGTGGTACTAATGAAGTTGTGAATAGCAAAGAAAATGTATATGTGAAAAGAGTTTACAAATAAAACGACTACTGAAGGACAGAGCAATATATGTTATAATAT
Source organism: Homo sapiens (assembly GCF_000001405.40). Lineage (NCBI taxonomy): Eukaryota > Metazoa > Chordata > Mammalia > Primates > Hominidae > Homo > Homo sapiens. The sequence continues at coordinate 65,852,864 of NC_000006.12, forward strand.
ATATTATGTAATAATATAATCTGATATTACATATTAATACAGTAATACTTATCTAATACATATTTTACATATAATGTACTGTCTACTTCACATATAATACATAATGTATTGTCATATATTATTTCTTACAAAGAGCTCATAGTGGTAATTTTAATGTATAAAATAACAAGATAGCATTTTTTTTTGTACAGCATTAAAAAAATAAGGACTAGGCCTTTAAGCCTGAAGGGTGGCTTAAAGCCAGGAATTTGAGGCTAGCCTGGACGACAGAGTGAGATCCCATTTCTACAACAACAACAAAAAATAATTAGCTAGGCACGGTGGCACCTGCCTATAGTTCTAGCTACTAGGGAGGCTGAGGTGAGAGGATCACTTGAGTACAAGAGTTTAAGGCGGTAGTGGTCTATGATCACTCCCTTACACTCCAGCCTGGGCAACAGAATGAGACCCCATTGGCTTAAAAATTAATAAAATAATATTACAATGTTTAAAAATGAGGTCTAAAGGAAAATATAACTCTCCATAGAATTATGCTAGAGCTTGGTAGATGTATATTGAAAGAGCCCGTTTTCCTCAGTCTAGTTTAACTCGAATCTCTGCATCCAGTGTTGACATATCCAGAATAATGTGTAAGCTAAACTTGCATTGAAAGGATATCAAAGGATAGAATGGGTTAATGTTTTGTCCAAATATCTTATTTGAGAAGAAAAGATAGTTTCATGTCTTCTAAATTCCATCATCCAGCTAAAGCCAGTTGAGTTTGATAATACAATTGGGCTTCCACCCCAGTAATCTAACTTCATTTCAGATCTGAATCATAGCTGTGGCAGTTCTGAATTATAGCTCATTTTATTAGAGTGCGGATACACTGACTAAATCTATACAATCCTCTTTTTCACTGACTAGTTCTGCTCCACATGGATAAAAATGGTACAAACAATGTGAGAGCTTCCAGAAACAAAAGACTACCATTGTGCTGAAATTTATTCTTGAAGATGTTTTCTATTGAACATGATAGTTCTGTTTCACCACTGACACTAGGTCTGCTGGTTTTCCCCTCCCGCAACGTACACACCAAAGTTTTAGTATTTTTACAAATTGAGTTCCATTACCACCTTTTTCTTTCCTATCTATGTGTTTCTGCATCCCAATTTGCTCCATATCTGAGCCTGAAGATCCAGGTTCAGTACATATAACATGATTCTTTTCATATTTAACTTTCATATTAAAATGATTTTAATATTAAATAAATATTTAAAATGTTATACAAAAAGGAAATAATGAACAACATTTGAATACAACTCTGAAATGTTGTTTTGATGTTTACTGAACATATTTAGAAATTATGTAGTACAAATGCTTCTTCTCCAACATTTAATTTTTGAAACATATTTTTAAATGATAAGAGCAAAAATTTTCTATGGGAGAATCATAGCAATTTATGTCATACCACATGAAGTAAAGGATATTTAACCTTGTTGTGAGAAGCTCACTATTAAGATTAGGAAATAGTACAGCAATTTTGAAATGAAAATTTCACTTGAAATTTTCCTTATACATTTTAGCCATGATTATTATACCATATTTATTGAATGCTACAGTTAAATATGACATTATGCAGCAAATTTAACTGAATCCCTTTTTCATATGTCCACCCTGTCAATAATCATGTAAAGCACCAGGCATGGCACTATAGAGAGTAAAGATACTCTCTTGGAGAGCATAGTAGGAATATATAGAGTGTAAATTAGGAATTAGCACATAAGACCAGATATTATTTAAGTGCATGCATAATAGACACAAAAATATAAGCTCAAAACTGAGACACAGCTAAAGTGACTTGGGGAGTCAGAGGAGAGCTCAGTTCCATCCCAGGGATTCAGAAACACTCTGCCCATGAGAGAGCATTGAAGACCCCTTGAGAAGCAGACAGGGTTTGCATGTTCAGAAGTCATAGGAAGACAGGGGCATTTTTCTCAGTAAGGACAGATTGGCAAAGGCAAACAGTAAAGTGTAGGGTAACTGTAAAGAAAATAACTCATTATGGCAAGAACATGAAATGAAAAGTAATAAGCTATAACATTGGTAAAATAATTTGAGGCATTTTCATAGAGAATTTTTAATGTAAGGCTCCATGAATTATTTTTAATAGCAGTAATCATAGGTATTAAAGATCAGTAACTAATTCTTTTTCTTTAGTCATAAGCATGCGAATGCCAGATTATTCAAATCCTTGAATATGCTACATTCTTAAACTTCTTAAAAAAATTCTTCTTTCAGTGCTAACTGCGTCCACACTACCCCAACCTTTTAATTTGTTCATTTCTTGGTCCCTGTAGCTGAGACAACAGTTATCAAATATTATATGTTATTTCCTGAGTAGAAGTAAATATATGTCTGTCAACTGTGGATTTAGCTGGGAGAAATTGAAAGTAAAGAAATAAGTATATTAAAATCAACCATTTGTGTATTTGTGCTCTTAGAGTAAGGAAGATGACACAAAGAATAATCTTTTCAGTAGCATTCTGCCAGAGATGTGCATTTGTGTTAGCAAAGTTTCAAGTGTAGAGTTTCCTAATCCTTTGTTACGCAGAGAGGGAAAGATTGAGAGTTATGATGGTAAAACTCGGTAGAACTACCTTGCTATAGCCTGGGATACAGACACTAAGAGATTTTAAGACTCCTTGCAGGTAACGGCCATGGTAAACAAAGCTAGAAATGCATGAGTATAAATAATGTACAAGTTAAGAGTTGACTCTTAACAGTCAAGTTAACAGAGTTAAGTGTTAAGAGTTAACAAGATAAGAGATAACTAAACACTGAATGCATGTATAATCTTCTGGACTATTTGAATTTGTAAATAATTATATATATATTTATCTTATGTTATTTAAAATATACGTTTATATAGTTATTTTTATATTTATATATTTACTTTTATATTTATATAAAATATAAAAATTCTAATATTTATATTAAATTTATAAATTTTACTTTCAGAATTGTATCTATCTAAATCATATTTTTATATATAAACATGTATATGTATGTATATGTTATATATGTTTATATTATATTAAAATATATATTTTACATTATATTCATTTACATATGTTACAAATATAATGTAAATAATCATTTGAGTGAGGACAGCTAATCAAAGAAGCACTTGTTAGTGCCCTGCTTTTTTTTTCTAGATAAATATGAAATTGAGGTTAATGCAGAAATAAAATCTATGCAGTTAAAGTATATCAGTTGTTTGTTGTTTGCATTTAACTTAGTAAACACAATATGAAATAATGATTATGTTGAAGGATGAGATTAGTAATCATGTTACCTTACATTTTTATAGTATGCAGCAATTTTAATTTATCGATCCCTAAATTCTATTAAAATTACTGACACAATATATTAGTTTTCAAAGTACATGTATTAATCTGTTCTCATGCTGCTAATAAAGACATACCCAAGATTGGGTAATTCAGAAAGAAATGAAGTTTAATAAACTCACAGTTTTATGTAGCTGGAGAGGCCTCACAATCATGGTGGAAGATAATGGAAGAGAAAAGGGACTTCTTACATGGCAGTGGGCAAAGACAGTTTATACAAGGGAACTCCAGTTTATAAAACCATCAGATCTTCTGAGACTTATTCACTACCACAAGGACAGCATAGAAAAGACCATCCCCCAAGATTCAATTACCTCCCACCGGGTCACTCCCATGACACATGGGAATTATGAGAGCTACAATTCAAGATGAGATTTGGATGGGGACACAGTCAAACCATATTATTCCACCCCGGCCAATCCCAAATCTCATGTTCTCACATTTTAAAACCAGTCATGCCTTCCCAACAGTCCCCCAAGTTCTTAACTCATTTCAGCATTAACTTAGAAGTTCACAGTCTAAAGTCTCATCTGAGAATAGGTAAGTCCTTTCTGCTTAGAGCCTGTAAAATCTAAAGCAAGTTAGTCACTTTCTAGACACAATGGGGGTACAAATATTGGGTAAATACACCCATTCCAAGTGGGAGAAATTGGCCACAATGAAGGGGCTACAGGCATCATGTAAGTCCAAAATCCAGCAGGGCAGCCAAATCTTAAAACTCCCAAATGAACTCCTTTGACTTAATTTCTCACCTCCAGGTCACCTTGCTGCAAGAGGTGGTTTCCCATGGTTTTGGGTAGCTCCACCCCTCTGGCTTTGCAGGGTACAGCCCACCTCCTGGCTGCTTTCTCAGGCTGACATTGAGTGTCTGTGGTTTTTCCAGGTGCATGGTGGAAGCTGTCCCCAGGCGCATGGTGCAAGCTGTCAGTGGATCTATGATTCTGAAGTCTGGAGGATGGTGGCCCTCTTCTCACAGCTCCACTAGGCAGTGTCCCAATGGGGACTCTGTCTGGGGGCACCCAGCCCACATTTCTCTTCCACACTGCCCTGGCAGAGGCCCTCCATGAGGTCCCCATGCCTACAGCAAACTTCTGCCTGGACATCTAGGTGTTTTCATACATCTTCTGAACTCTAGGTGGAGGTACCCAAACCTGAATTCTTGACTCCTGCACACCTGCAAGCTCAACACTACATAGAAGCTGCCAAAGCTTGGGGCTTACTCCCTCTGAAGCCATGGCCCAAGTTGTACCTTGGTCCCTTTTAGTCATGGCTAGAGCAGCTGGGACTCAGGACACCAAGTCCCTAGGCTGCACACAGTAGAGGACCCTGGGACTGGCCCATGAGACCATTTTTTCTTCCTAGATCTCCTGGCCTGTGATGGGAGGGGTTGCCACAAAGGTCTCTGACATGCCCTGGAGATATTTTCTGCATTGTCTTGGCAATTAACATTTGGTTTCTCGTTATTTATGCAATTTTCTGCAGCCAGCTTGAATTTCTACCCACAAAATGGGTTTTTCTTTTCTATTGCATCATCAGGCTCCAAATTTTCCAAAATTTTTAGGCTCTGCTTCCTCTTGAGCAACTTGCTGCTTAGAAATTTCTTCCAACAGATATCCTAAATCATTTCTCTCCAGTTCAAAGTTCCACAGATCTCTAGGGCAGGGCCAAAGTGCCACAAGTCTTTCTGCTAAAATATACCAAGAGTCACCTTTACTCCAGTTCCCAACAAGTTCCTCATCTCCAATCTGAGATAAGCAGCACTTGGTCAAAGCCATTCAACAAGTCTCTAGGAAGTTCCAAACTTTTTCACATTTTCCTGTTTTCTTCTGAGGCTTACAAACTATTTCAACCTCTGCCTGTTACGCACTTCCAAAGTCGCTTCCACATTTTCAGGTATCTATATAGCAGTGCCCCACTACCTTGTACCAATTCACTTTATTAGTCTGTTCTTACACTGCTAATAAAGACATACCTTAGACTGGGTAATTTATAAAGGAAAGAGGTTTAATGGACTCACAGTTCCATGTGGCTGGGGAGTCCTCACAATCATGGTAGAAGATGAAGGAAGAGAAAAGGGACTTCTTACATTGCAGTGGGCAAAGAGAGAGCTTGTGCAAGGGAATTTCTGTTTATAAAACCATCAGATCTCATGAAAATTATTCACTACCATGAGAACAACATGGGAAAGACCCACCCCCATGATTAAATTACCTCCCATCAGGTTCCTCCCATGATACAAGGAATTATGGGAGCTACAATTCAAGATGAGATTTAGGTGGGGACACAGCCAAACCATATCAGCACATAATATGAACAAGAGTTATTATTATTATTTTTCAGATGAAACTTGTGGGAGCAGAGCCAAGACATCTACATTGATACCTGAGACTTCTGTGTGGAGTCTTTCTCCTGCATCAATCCACTCTCTGTAAAAATGTTTACTGTTTATGATTAGATTAATTTTAAGCAGCCACCTCACTTTCCCAATGCAATAATTTAGAAAACTCAGTGGAATTTTGATTATGTTACCTACATCCTATGGGCCATTTTACCAGGAAATGAGTCACAAGCAAATTGATATCTTGAGACCTCTTTTGGAAGAGCTTACAGAGAGAAAAAAGTTTCAAAACATTGATAAAGCAGGAGCTGCTTTATTATATAGATTATTATTATTATTTTTGAGATAGGATCTCACTCTGTCACACAAGCAGGAATGCAATGGTGCCATCTGGGTTCACTGCAACCTCTGCCTCCTGGGCTCAAGAAATTCTCCCGTCTCAGCCTCAGAAGTATCTGGGACTACAGGCATGAGACACCATACACTGCTAAATTTTGTATTTTTAGTAGAGGTCGGTTTTGCCATGTTGGCCAGGCTGGTCTCCAACTCCTGGGCTCAAGCAATTCACCCACCTTGGCCTCTCAGATCACTGGGATTACAGGTGTGAGCCACAATGCCCAGCCTATAGGTGAATTTTTATCAGTAAGTAAAAGTTGCTGAAACTCAACCTGGATCTTTTACCTGTCTTATTAAACAAATTAGAGGAGAAAGAGGATAGAGCTATTGGTTAATGAAATGAGGTTAATCAATTGAAATGAATGGGTTTACTGTTTTGATTGAATTTTAATTTAAGACATAATACCTTCTAATTTCAAGCAATGTGTTCACAATGACATGAAGAGAAAATCTATATAAAGATTTTTTTAATTTCCAAATTTTAATAGAATACTTCATTTTAAAATTAGTATTAAAATTACAGTTGGTACTAAACAAAATTATCTGAAAAAAATTTTCTATATAGCTATCACTAGTTCCATTTATTACTAAAACAAGAAAATATAGATTTCCATCTGGTCATGATTACAAAATGTCATGTAATGTAAGATTTACTACACATTTAATTATAGCTCTTCAAGAAAAGAAAGGCTAAATTAAATATATACATCTATTTTAATGCATATTATAATTTTAGTTATGTACAAATGTGAACAAGTATAAATCTGATAATTGAAAAAATAAAATAATTTTCTGTAATAATTATAAGATCATTAAAACAATTAAAATTACAGTCAAGTCATGGTTATTTTGGCTTTATTAAAAATACGAACTGTGAATATACCATTCTTGGTTTTAAAACTTACCTCTGGCACTTTTTGCTTTGTAGCCCTCAGAAGTGGCTTAACCTTACTCTTATTTGGTTTCTACTTCTATAAAACAATAATAATAATACGTATCTCATTAGAATAGTTGAGGGAAAAATTCAGCTAATGCTTGTTAAAAGATAACCAGACTGACCAATTTGGTCAAACCCCATCTCTACTAAAAATACAAAAATTAGCCAGGTGTGGTGGCATGCACCTGTAATCCCAGCTACTCAGGAGGCAGAGGCAGGAGAATTGCTTGAACCCGGGAGGCGGTGGTTGTAGTGAGCTGAGATCACCTGCCACTGTACTCCAGCCTGGGGGACAGAGCAAGACTCTGTCTCAAAAAAAAAAAAAAAAAAAAAAAAAAGGAAAGTCTTAGCATATAGTAAGTATTCAATTAATGCTAGCTCTCATTATTATCATTATTATGATTTTATATAAGCTATTGTTCAATGTCTATGTTTATGAATGAGTAAATTAAAATATATTAATTAAAATTAACTAACTATAGCAGTGTTTCTTGTTAGTCCAATATTCTAAATTTAATTAAAAAGTATTTTATTTCAGAAAATAACTTTTTATGTGATGAAACTTTCAAATTTGAACTTTTACCAGACTTCACATCTTTGAACTGAATTCGAACATTTAAAAACATTTTTGGTATCTTTATCTTTGTTTGCTACTTCTTAAATTTTTTTGTGTCTATGGCTTGCTTTGTACTTGAAAGCACCAATTATTGAAAATAATTGCTCTTGGACATCATTCTCTCCTTCCTCCAAAAAAATAAAAAATAAAAATTCATGGTTTTATTATTTCTTTTACCATTTCTTTTACCATTTTTTCTCAGTTATCTAGTAAAGTCTTTTAAAGTCTATCTGATTTTATTTTAGAATAGTTCTTTTACTATTTCTTGAATGTTTTTCTTTTCTTCTTAACCATTATTAAGTAACAGCATTTTTAACCCATAATGAATATTTTAGAGTAATTTTAAAGAATGGTTTTGAATGAAAGATGGGTGTTAGGTTTATTTCAAAAAGCCACCTATTTTGCTTATAGTGACATTAAACCCACCACTACATCATAAAAATTTAACTACAAATTATATCAGAAATCCACTGATTCCTCTTTGTCTCCACAGTCACTATATTTACGGGCATCAACTTCACTTCTCATCTTCACAACTTCAGGAACACTCACTGGTCTCCGGCATTCCACTCTTTCCTCATTTAATTTATTCTTCACACAGCAGCCAAGCTGTATGTTTTAAAATACAAATCAATCATTCCATGACATTTATTAAGTCATTCCAATGAATTCCTATTACACAGTAATAAAAAATCTTTTTAAAATTATGAAATGAAACTCACTTCCAGGGAAATGTACGATATATAAATGTATAATGTAACTAATAATTATACGTTAATACCAGCTGTCTTAGTTTTGGGGTTAACCAAGCTTAGGAAAAGCTTAAGACAAATGCTTAGATGCACGCAGTATGTTTGGAAGGAACTGCCAGGGACCAGGAGCAAGGAGTGAGATAAAGGCAAAAAGGCCAAAATGAGAAAACTCTATTGACCTTACTCCAGTGGCAAGTACAAGTTCTACTCCATTAGGAACTCAGGGAAACATAACGAATGGTTCCTGTAGTTGTCTGTTGAAAAGATAGAATGGATCATTTATCCATCAGCTTTCATCCACATTTTTTGAAGATTGCCCCAGGGAGAATCTACTTTCCCACATGTGACAGACTTCTTATGCCTTCACGCTTAGTGGACTCCCACTGCTTCTGAGACAGTCCTGTGGCAGAAATCTGAAATATGTACAGAACAATGGAGGTGAGATACCACCAACTTCAGGTCATGTTAACATGGAACTTTTCAATGCATTAAAGGTCAAAGTTAATTTGGTGGTCAAAAGGATGTGATATTGGGCAGCAGAAAACGTCAATCAAAATCCATCCCATTAATTACTCACATATTCTGGTGCCCCAAATTAAATCTCCTCTTTAGAATATTTCAAAATAGTGGTCAGGTACAATCTCAATAAAATACTTATTTAAGAAGGCTGTTGTAACAAATTAGTCTTCTATAGAAGCTGTCTTATCATCTCCCTCTTTTACTATCCTTACTAGCTTTCCTTTACTTTCAGTGAATACTTCAGCTGATCTAGAATGCTAACCTTGTGGAGTGGCCCAGACTGCCATATCTGAAAGATCTGGGCTATTGGTTTCATTGTCCTTGCTGCCAGGTATGGTTGCTGAAAATACCTAAACAAGGTTATTACAGGCCATGAAGCAAAAGATGAGTCCTCTGAGTTTAACACGTATGTATACTACTCTTTTACTCCATTCTGTTGCAGAAAACTTCTCTTGAAAATAATTGGGATCAAAGACTCTATTCGTTATGGTGTTTACTGGTTATCAAATTGCTCAAAGTAACCAGAGAGCAGGGTTGCTGATTATTAGGGCTATCCTCAGTGGTTTGTCATTGAAGGCTTATCTTCAACGCCACAGAAGGCACATAGTTCCAAGGGCATTCAGAATACTAATCTACTTCCTATTCTTCAGGATTAGTTAGCATGATATTAATAATATAAGACCAGTGTGGAAGTCTAAGGAATAATAACTTAATTAAGGCTCCTGGGACTATGTCATTTCTGAGAATAGGAGAGTCACCATAGCCATAAAGCAAAGATGGTGAATTTGTACTGTAGTACTTTGCGCCTAAAAGTGAATGGGTTTTTGATCCTCTTTAATGATGGAAATTGGAAATAACACGTTTTTCAATTCAGCAACAGCATATCAAGTGCTGGAGGATTTGTTAATTTGCTTAACTAAAGGGGCACAAGTTTAAGGAAGTACATCTAACCCACAATAATTGGATTTGTGCAAGGACTACACATGCCAATTAACTGTGAAAAGGATGAGACGATGCCTCCTGTGTCCTTTGTCTTTGAAGAAAATGATTACCTACCTCTGGTAGAATTCAGCTGTGAATCCATCTGGTCCTGGACTTTTTTTGGTTGGTAGGCTAGTAATTATTGCCTCAATTTCAGAACCTGTTATTGGTCTATTCAGGGATTCAACTTCTTCCTGGTTTAATCTTGGGATGGTGTATGTATCCAGGAATTTATCCATTTCTTCTAGATTTGCATAGAGGTGTTTATAGTATTCTCTGATGGTAGTTTGTATTTCTGTGGGATCGGTGGTGATATCCCCTTTATCATTTTTTTATTGCATATATTTGACTCTTCTCTCTTTTCTTCTTTATTAGTCTTGCTAGAGGTCTATCAATTTTGTTGATCTTTTCAAAAAACTACCTCCTGGATTCATTGATTTTTTGAAGGGTTTTTTGTGTCTCTATCTCCTTCAGTTCTGCTCTCATCTTCATTATTTCTTGCCTTGTGCTAGCTTTTGAATTTGTTTGCTCTTGCTTCTCTAGTTCTTTTAATTGTGATGTTAGGGTGTCTATTTTAGGTCTTTCCTGCTTTCTCTTGTGGGCATTTAGTGCTATAAATTTCCCTCTACACACTGCTTTAAATGTGTCCCAGAGATTCTGGAATGTTGTGTCTTTGTTCTTATTGGTTTCAAAGAACGTCTTTATTTCTGCCTTCATTTCGTTATTTACCCAGTAGTCATTCAGGAGCAGGTTGTTCAGTTTCCATGTAGTTGTGCGGTTTTGAGAGAGTTTCTTAATCCTGAGTTCTAATTTGATTGCACTGTGCTCTGAGATAGTTTGTTGTGATTTCTGTTCTTTTACATTTGATGAGGAGTGCTTTACTTCCAACTATGTGGTCAATTTTGGAATAAGTGCGACGTGGTGCTGAGAAGAATGTATATTCTGTTGATTTGGAGTGGAGAGTTCTGAAGATGTCTGTTAGGACTGGTTGGTGCAGAGCTCAGTTCAAGTCCTGGATAGCCTTTTTAATCTTTTGTCTCATTGATCTGTCCAATATTGACAGTGGGGTGTTAAAGTCTCCCATTGTTATTGTGTGGGAGTCTAAGTCTCTTTGTAGGTCTCTAAGGACTTGCTTTATGAATCTAGGTGCTCCTGTATTAGGTGCATATATATTTAGGATAGTTAGCTCTTCTTGTTGAATTGATCCCTTTACTGCTATGTAATGGCCTTCTATGTCTCTTTTGATCTTTGTTGGTTTAAAGCCTGTTTTATCAGAGACTAGGATTGCAAACCCTGCTTTTTTTTGGTTTCCATTTGCTTAGTAGATCTTCCTGCACCCCTTTATTTTGAGCCTATGTGTGTCTCTATACATGAGATGGGTCTCCTGAATACAGCACACTGATGGGTCTTAACTCTTTATCCAATTTGCCAGTCTGTGTCTTTTAATTGGGGCATTAGGCCATTTACATTTAAGGTTAATATTGTTATGTGTGAATTTGATCCTGTCATTATGATGTTAGCTGGTTATTTTGCCTGTTAGTTGATGCGGTTTCTTCCTAGCATCGATGGTCTTTACAATTTGGCATGGTTTTGCAGTGGCTAATATGGGTTGTTCCTTTTCATGTTTAGTGCCTCCTTCAGGAGTTCTTGTAAGGCAGGCCTGGTGGTGACAAAATCTCTTAGCATTTGTTTCTCTGTAAAGGATTTTATTTCTCCTTCGTGTATGAAGCTTAGTTTGGCTGGATATGAAATTCTGGATTGAAAATTCTTTTCTTTAAGAATGTTGAATATTGGCCCCCACTCTCTTCTGGCTTGTAGAGTTTCTGCGGAGAGATCCACTGTTAGTCTGATGGGCTTCCCTTTCTGGGTAACCCAACCTTTCTCTCTGGCTGCCCTTAACATTTTTTCCTTCATTTCAACTGTGGCAAATCTGACAATTATGTGTCTTGGGGTTGCTCTTCTAGAGGAGTATCATTGTGCTGTTAGCTCTGTTTTTCCTGAATCTGAATGTTGGCCTGCCTTGCTAGGTTGGGGAAGTTCTCCTGGATAATATCCTGAAGAGTGTTTTCCAGCTTGGTTGCATTCTCCCTGTCAGTTTCAGGTACACCAATCCAACGTAGATTTGGTCTTTTCACATAGTCCCATATTTCTTCGAGGCTTTCTTGATTTCTTTTTACTCTTTTTTCTCTAAACTTGTCTTCTCGCTTCATTTCATTCATTTGATCTTCAGTCACTGATACCCTTTCTTCCACTTGATTGAATTGGCTACTGAAGCTTGTTGTGCATGATTCACGTAGTTCTCGTGCCATGGTTTTCAGCTCCATCAGGTCATTTAAGGTCTTCTCTACACTGTTTACTCAAGTTAGCCATTTGTCAAATCTTTTTTCAAAGTTTTTAGCTTCCTTGCGATGGGTTCAAACATCCTCCTTTAGCTCAGAGAAGTTTGTTATTACCGACTTTCTGAAGACTACTTCTGTCAACTCGTCAAAGTAATTCTCCATCCAGATTTGTTCCATTGCTGGTGAGGAGCTGCGATCCTTTGGAGGAGAAGGGGCGCTCTGGTTTTTAGAATTTTCAGCTTTTCTGCTGTGTTTTCTCCCATCTTCGTGGTTTTATCTACCAGAGGTACAAAGAGGAGCTGGTACCATTCTTTCTGAAACTATTCCAATCAATAGAAAAAGAGGGAATCCTCCCTAACTCATTTTATGAGGCCAGCATCATCCTGATACCAAAGCCTGGCAGAGACACAACAAAAAAAGAAAATTTTAGACCAAAATCCCTGATGAACATTGATGCAAAAATCCTCAATAAAATACTGGCAAACAGAATCCAGCAGCACATCAAAAAGCTTATCCACCAAGATCAAGTTGGATTCATCCCTGGGATGCAAGGCTGGTTCAACATATGCAAATCAATAAGCGTAATCTATCACATAAATAGAACCAAAGACAAAAACCACATGATTATCTCAATAGATGCAGAAAAGGCCTTTGACAAAATTCAACAGCCCTTCATGCTAAAAACTCTCAATAAACTAGGTATTGATGGAACGTATCTCAAAATAATAAGAGCTATTTAAGACAAACCCACAGCCAGTATCATACTGAATGGAAAATACTAGAAGCATTCCTTTTGAAAACTGGCACAAGACAGGGATGTCCTCTCACCACTCCTATTCAACATAGTGTTGGAAGTTCTAGCCAGGGCAATCAGGCAAAAGAAAGAAATAAAGGGTGTTTAATTAGGAAAAGAGGAAGTCAAATTGTCCCTGTTTGCAGATGACATGATTGTATATTTAGAAAACCCCATCATCTCAGCCCAAAATCTCTTTAAGCTGATAAGCAACTTCAGCAAAGTCTCAGGATACAAAATCAATGTGCAAAAATAACGAGCATTCTTATACACCAATAGCAGACCAACAGAGAACAAAATCACGAGTGAACGCACATTCACAGTTGCTACAAAGAGAATAAAATACCTAGGAATACAACTTACAAGGGATGTGAAGGACCTCTTCAAGGAGAACTACAAATCACTGCTCAATGAAATGAAAGAGGATACAAACAAATGGAAGAACATTCCATGCTCATGGACAGGAAGAATCAATATTGTGAAAATGGCCATACTGCCCAAGGTAATTTATAGATTCATTGCCATCCCCATCAAGCCACCAATGACTTTCTTCACAGAATTGGAAAAAACTATTTTAAGGTTCATATGAAACCAAAAAAGAACCAGCATTGCCAAGATAATCCTAAGCCAAAAGAACAAAGCTGGAGGCATCACATTACCTGACTTCAAACTATACTACAAGGCTACAATAACCAAAACAGCATGGTACTGGTACCAAAACAAGAAACATAAACCCATGGAACAGAACAGAGGCCTCAGAAATAACACCACACATCTACAATCATCTGATCTCTGACAAACCTGACAAAAACAAGAAACAGGGAAAGGATTCCCTATTTAATAAATGGAGCTGGGAAAACTGGCTAGCCACATGTACAAAGCTGGAACTGGATCCCTTCCTTACACCTTATACAAAAATTAATTCAAGATCGATTAAAGACCTAAATGTTAGATCTAAAACCATAAAAACCCTAGAAGAAAACCTAGGCAATACCATTTAGGACATAGGCATGAGTAAGGACTTCATGACTAAAACACCAAAAGCAATGGCAACAAAAGCGAAAATAGACAAATGGGATCTAATTAAACTAAAGAGCTTCTGCACAGCAAAATAAACCACCTTCAGAGTGAATAGGCAACCTACAGAATGGGAGAAAATTTTTGCAATCTACCCATCTGACAAAGGGCTAATATCCAGGGTCTACAAAGAACTTAAACAAATTTACAAGAAAAAATCAAACAACCCCATTAAAAAGTGGGCAAAGGATATGAACAGATACCTTTCAAAAGAAGTCATTTATGCAGCCAACAGACACATGAAAAAATGCTCATCATCACTGGTCATCAGAGAAATGCAAATCAAAACCACAATGAGATACCATCTCACACCAGTTAGAATGGTGATCATTAAAAAGTCAGGAAACAACAGGTGCTGGAGAGGATGTGGAGAAATAGAAACGCTTTTACACTGTTTGTGGCAGTGTAAACTAGTTCAACCATTATGGAAGACAGTGTGGCGATTCCTCAAGGATCTAGAACTGGAAATACCATTTGACCCAACGATCGTATTATTGGGTATATACCCAAAGGATTATAAATCATGCTACTATGAAGACACATGCACACATATGTTTATTGTGGCAATGTTCACAATAGCAAAGACTTGGACCCAACCTGAATGTCCATCAATGATAGATTGGATTAAGAACGTGTGACACATACACAACATGGAATACTATGCAGCCATAAAAAAGGATGTGTTCATGTCCATTGTAGTGACATGGATGAAGCTGGAAACCATCATTCTCAGCATACTATTGCAAGGACAGAAAACCAAACATTGAATGTTCTCACTCATAGGTGGGATTTGAACAATGAGAACACTTGGACACAGGGCAGGGAACATCACACACCGGGGTGTGTCATGCGGTGGGGGGATGGGGGAGGGATAGCATTAGGAGAAATACCTAATATAAATGATGAGTTAATGGGTGCAGTAAACCAACATGGCACATGTATAAATATGTAACAAACCTGCACGTTGTGCACATGTACCCTAGAACTTAAAGTAAAAAAAAAAAAAAGTGATGACCTATGTGATTCTGGCAGGGATGTATATAATTTCTTATTTATAATCTTGGATACAGAGAGGTAATTTTAGTGGTTTCCTCTTGGCCTCTTTTACATAAGGCAAATTATCTGTAGGTCACATATCCTTGTGTGTGATCTTTGCCACCTGGTACATACTTCATTGCAGTAGAGGCTAAAGGCAATTATAACCAAGGGGAGGGCACAGACTTAATGAACTCACTGTGCAATAAACTTGGGCCAGGATTTAACTTCCCTAAACTTACCTCTAACAAAGGGGTCATATGGAAAATTGAGGCAGCACAGATACTGTATGTAATACCTCTTGATATGCCTGGCTACTGGACTTTCCCCAATGTATAGTTTTTTTTTGTTTTAAATGGGTTTAAGTTATTTTCTTAAAATAATTCAAGAAATATCTATTGTATGTATTCGAGGTAGTGTTGCAACATTCTTGCACAAGGAGACTCAGCCAAATATGCATTGTGAAGAAATTGAAATATAATTGATATGATTAACATAAAATTCACTTTTTATGTGTATAATTAACTAGTTTTCAGTATATTTACAAGGTTATGTAACCATCACCACTATATAATTTCAGAAAATTTTCGTCATGCCAAAAGAAACTCTGTAACCATTAGCAGTCACCCCGTTTCTCCCTGCCTCATTCCATAGCAATCAGTAATCTACCTTCCGCTTATTCTGTAAAATCCTTATAAATAGACTCCTGTAATATGTGGCCTTTTGTGACTGCCTTCTTTCATTCAATATCATGTTTTCAAGGTTTGTCCAAGTTATAGCACACATTCATACTTCATTCCTTTTAATGTCAAATAATTTTCCTTTGTATGGTATGCCATCCAAAACAACAATATAGTAGGAGATCTTAGATCCAGGTAAATTTTAGTTACTTGGAGAAAAAGTATGATTTTCAAAAACTGGTGAATGAAACATTGGAAATCGACATTAAAAAATTCACTTTTTTCCCAGATCAAAATAGATTTACTTTCACTAAAGATAAAAACAGAAAGCAATGCCATAGCCTGTGTCTATATAATGCACACACACTGATAAATATATCCTCAAAATAAACAACATACTCCTAAGGATAATTTCCTATAAAAACCAAAAGATACATTTTATGACAGAAAACCAAAAATGAAATTTTTTTTTAAGAAAAAAGAAAAGGCAGCAAAAGCTAAGATGAATCCAATTTTGGCTTTATTTTGTCTTGTATATCTATTAAATTTTAATTTATATATGCTTCTGTTTATATTACAAACTAACCTTTTTATTTCTAATAATTTGTTTTTATTACACCTATCTACTCATATTAATAGATCAGTTTTTATATTTGTTATTTGAGCAGCATAATCTATTCTTTTATTTGGCCCCTTGCAGTATTGTGTTTGAGATAGTCCTCTTGTAAATTGCATATCGTTGTTCAATAATAGAAAAATACATTGCATACATTTTCTTTGACTAAAGCATTCCAGAATATTATGTAATTGAAATTTTTATACTTTCCTGTAAAGCTGGAAGAAAAAAATATTAAATCCAAGTAATAAATTAATGTGAAAATTTAGATACTGGCATTGATAAATCTGACAACCTCAATCTGTAAAAAAAAGATTAATTCATTATTCATATTTTCAATAGGATCACAGAGAACACATCCATTTCTCAAATTTGAACTAGAAAAAAATTTATTAAACTTCTATGTAAGAAAATAAGAATGTTAAGAGAATACTGTATAACACAATACTCCTTGAGGGACTTGAAAAGTCAATGTAGTGAATGATTATGTGTCTTTATATTTCCTTTCACCAAAGACCCCTCTTAATAAAAGGCTTTTCAAGTCTAGCTAGAACAGCTTTCATGTGCCTTTGCTTTCATTGAACATTTATGGTATTGTTCCTTCATTACCAGATAAATTTGTCATGAGATTTCTAGTTTATGAAACATACGTGTGTGTGTGTGTGTGTGTGTGGCCAATTTTCTTAAATGTCCTATAAAAACTTGATACATTGCTCATTATTGAGGCTTTAAAATTTGATACATATGTTAAAGGAAAAGTGACTGAGGCAAGAGTCTCAATCAATGGAGTTTAATTGAGCCAAAGTTCGATGTAGCGCTCGGGAGAATCACAAGTCACAGGAACTTCTGTGACTTGTGCTTTCTAAAGAGTGTTTTGGGAACTCAGAATTTAAAGGAAAAAAAGCTGTTTTTTAACTGGGTAAATTTTTTAAATTAAAAAATGAAAACAAATAAAAAGAAAAAGCAAGCAGAAGGGAAAATGGGACGGAAGGTGGGCAGGTAGGCAAAAGGTTACATTCCAGTGAGGCTCTGATAAGCCCTCAGTAAATCTACCTTTTACATTAGTTAAGGTAAACCTGTGAAAAGAAGAAGTAGAGGAAAAGTCAATTATGCATCAGTCTCAGGGTAAGAAGAAGGATGATTTCTGGTCTTGTTTGGTACCTGTGAAGATATGCTTGTAGTTGACATTGTCATATTTACTGTGGATGCTTATAATGATTGGCTTGTCTATGTGGTTTGTAAACTTTTCAAAATTTTTTTCTATTGCTATTTTTCATTATTTTCCATTGAATTTTTTAGTGATTTTCTTTATAATTATGACTTTTATATTTTTTGTAGTGACCTATTTTATCATTTAGTTTCTTTTGTTAGCATTAAATGCTAACATTTTATTATTTTTTCCATTTTTTCCTTAGAAGTTATCAATGAGCTTCTTCTACTTGTCTTTCTCCCTTCTCCAAATTATTTAATTATGTTATGTCTACTTGGTCAGAATATAGGACATTGACATATTATTCTTTCACTCATTTTTACTTTTCTTTTTCTTGGATGTATGATTAAACATATTCGATGTTCATTATCAGAACTTGTGCAAAGATATCCCCAGTCATATCTTATTTGGGTGAAGCTCTTTTTATAGTAGGATGCTCTGGAAGACCCTGTGTGTATGATTTTTCCTGAAATCTCATGTGTTTACAATCCTAGTACAATAGCTTTGCTACTTGAAGAATAGCTTGGCTCCATATAAAACTCATGGATTATAATTTATTTTCTTGAGATTTTTGAAAATATTATTCACTGATATCTCCTTTGTATACTGTTGTTGAATATTCTGAACAACCTAGCTGTCTTTCCATTTCAATTTTCTCAATCTTTTTCCCTGGATTCAAGTAATGTCATTGGTATGTATCTATAGTGTGTCATTAGGATCAGGATTTTCAGTTACATGATGAGCCTGTTTTATTGGTAGATTCAAGTGTCTCTTTTTTTCTGGAAATTTTGCTCATGTTATACTTTGAATATCATTTCTGTCCTATTTTTCCCCCAGAGATGTTAACTGTATGTATGTTGAAGTTGGTTTGTTTATTATCTAAATACATCACTTCTCTAATCCTTTCTACTTCTTAATTCCACTATTTAAACAATTTTTGGATTATTTTCTTTTCTTTCCTCAATGTATTTTATTATGTCTTTAGTGAAAACTATTATTTCTTATGTATTTTAGATTTAGTCTCAATTCTGGGATGAATTTCTGCCCCCTACCTGCTTTAATTTCTTTCCCGAATTTGGTCAACTTTTGTTTTCACATCTTCTTACGTTTTTCTTATTTCTGTTCTGGATTTTAAATCTTGATTGTTTTTTCTTTTATTCTGCAAGTGAAATAATATGTTACACTATTTTTCTTCTTTAGGATTGCTTTGTTATTGAATATTTTTATCCGCCATAGTATTTTGATCTTTTGTTCAGTTACTATCTCTTTATAGATATTCCCCACAATTTTCCATTTTGAAATGTCATATAATTTTCTTCTTCAGGAAAATGATCATATATAGTGATCATATAAAGTGAAATGCATTTTAAGTAATAAATTGGTGGTATTTAGGGAAGGGAGGAATTTGCCTTTTCTGATTTTCTAATTTTCTTATTTCTAAGATTCTTAATTTTCACTTTTCTGTTCCTTGTCTTTTTTTCATCAACAAACCAAAACCTCCAGAGGATGTCATCCCTTCCCAGTCATCTCCCCCATTCCTAGAAGTAGTGCCTTCTTAAAATTGCTTTTGATGTCCATAGTAGCCAGTGTCTTAAAAATACCAGATCTTAGATTATTTTCCACATTTTTCCACTTAGGGAAATTTTGAGGTAATTTTTATGTATGTTCTACCATTGTTGGTCCCATGCTCCTCTCCTCTTTTCCATAAAAATCTACACCCAACTCTCTCAACCAGCATGCCCTGTGGATGCCTCTGCCTGTTTTGAATGCTTCATTACACATGAATTTTAGCTAATAGTGATTTATAACTTCTCTATAATGTGTAGGTATGAAAGATAATGGATTATTTACTCTTCATAATATGTGTGATATTGGTAGGATGTGTGCAAAGACTGAGTGATACAATAAGAATTTATTCTATCAATGTATGATTTTTTCAAAAAATATAGGTTAATAGAATTGATTTAATGACTATAAAGAAGACAAATATAATGGGACAATAATTATGGGAGAAATTAGGAATATAACTAAGATAAACGTGCTCACATTTAGATGAATTTCTGATACACTGAAATTTGAAAAGAACTGTTACTTACTGAAAATTAGAGTGATGGAAAATTTCTCATTGTATTTTACAATGTTGATCTAACACTAAAATTCAAAGATGAAAATTAGCATAAAAACTTATGAATCAATTATGTACACTCATGAACATAAAATCTATTCATTATAACAACAGAAAATAAACTCCTCCAAAATTGTATTATAATAGATCATAGAAAATTAAAATTTAATTTCAGAATACAGGAATTTGGCAAAACTAAGAAATGACATAAATATATTAAGCAGAAATCAATATGTTTAAAGGGTGGTGGATAAAATAAAAATATACATCTCTTTTTAAGTTTATTAATATTTTTAAAAATCACATGTAACAGCTTGAGTATTGAGGATTTTCTTAACGTCAAAAGTAACGTCTATCAGGAAATAAGACTCAACTTCATATTAAATGATAGATTATTTCTTTAAAGAAATGTCCCACTCTCTGAAGTCAACTATTCTAGAATTATTAAAGATGTATTCTGAATTTACTTATTATCAAAAGTTACAGTAGCATAATGAAAATGCCAGAATATAAATTTCTAATTTTATAATAAAAGCTGGGTAAAATTAATAAATGTACTCTTTTGAAGATATACCAGTGCTTGTGTCAAAATAACTCTTGAAAATAAAAAAATAATTCACGAGGTTTGAGTAAACATGTTGAGATAGAATTAAGAAATATTTTCTTTAAACTCCAGATCACTTTTATTTCTTTCAGAATAAAAATATAGTGAAACCAGAAATTATCTGAGTCCCTTGAAGAAAAAATCATATTTTGTTTCCAAAGTAGTCCATAGTGAGGACAGTTAACTCAGATAATAACCAACATAAGACCTGTTCTGGTTCCTACTCTACTCCTCTGTCAAAGACAGGTTAAATCTCCCTCTTTCTTCTGTCAAAGAAAAATTGCATTGAACATGTTAAACAGTCAAGGAATACTTTGTTCAAGACTACTTCAATTGGTGAGAAAGACTCTACTAAAACAAAAGTTAAGAGAATTTTTTTAGCATTGTGGAGAACAGTGAAAAAATAGAAGAAGTTAAGGGAAATATTGGCTAATATAATTAGGCCGTGTTGGGTATTAATAACTGGTGCCTATGGAAGTTAGGCTTTCACCTTGACATATAAACTGAAAGATAGGGGCTTGCCATGGTTTGATGTGCTCCCCAAAAAGCATGTGTTGAAAACTTAATCCCCACTGCAATGGTGTTTTCAGGTGAGGCCTAATGAGAGGTGATTAGGTCTTGAGGGCTCTGCCTTCATGAATTGATTAATGTAATTATCACAGCCTACTTTTCTTTCTCTCCCTTTCTCTCTCACTCTCTCACCTTCTGCCACAGGATGATATAGCAAGAAATCCTTTATCAGAGGCTGGCATCTTGATAATGAACTTTCCAGCCTCCAGAACTGTAAGAAATATATATATATATATATATATATATATATATATATATATATATTTTTTTTTTTTTTTTTTTTTTTTTCGGTAAATTACCCATTCTTAGGTATTCTGTTGTAGCAGCAGAAAGTGGGCTAAGACAGAGCTCTATCTTTCTGAATGATTGCATTCCAAAGGGATGACTTAAAGGTCCTTGAGAAAGACACTCCTGGATGGTAAAACTGGCAAGAAGTGAAAGAATATTTACATCTCAAAGGAGGAGAGAAAGAATTTATAATTGCAAGTTTTCTAAAGTAATGCTTTCAGAAAAGCAAGGTCAGGAGTCCATAGTCAGAAATAAATCCATCTAAAGTTTAGGCCAGTGAAAAGCAATATTAAGGTCATCTTGGTAAGTTTCAATAATTATATTTTCACTGACCTTTTAAAAATATGTTTATGTCTCTTTTTCCTTCCCCAAACTGTGAGCTTCTTCAGAATAAATGTTATATTAAATTATACAGCATATTATTTTATATTATTAGTATTGTATTCCCTTCTCCCTATTCAGGCTCTTTGGTTATAGCTTCTCAAACTGATGTTGGGCTGGCTTTATGATTTGTTTTGTCCAAGAAAAAATTAGCTGTTTGAGAAAAGTCTTTGTGCATTAAGACTTTCTCTCTTGCTGCTTTTTGGATCCTTGGTGTTACCAACTGGAGGAGCATGGGGTTAGTCCATAAGTGGGAAAGAGAACTTCATGGGACAAAAACAAAGTGTTCTAGCCTAGAACAAATAGCCCAGTCCTAGAAAAGATCTAAATCAAATAACCTGCCAAATGCCAGATACATAGTGTGGCCATCCTAGAATAATCAGTTTTAGCTGAGCTACCAGCATAACACAGATATTAGATAGACTGACCCATAACAAAATAATGACTCTACCTCAGAACTGAAAGAAATAATGAATATTTTCTTGCTAAAGAACTAAGTTTTCGGGGTTTTGAAAGCACTAAAAATTAATTGATAGACTACCTCTAGCCACTACCATAATGCTTATACTGAGTGTCTAAGTACTTTTCTGAATAAACAAGCAAGTTAATTACATAAATTTTGTATAATAAATTACAGCTGAAATTGGAGTGAGAGATCTGAATTAAGCTATATAGGAAAACAACTCATAATTTACATAAAGCACTTCACATAGAATCAAAGTTATGTTAAGAAACTCATAAAATATGATATTCTCATCTAAGTTTCTGGTAGGGCCAGATTTGATAAAATTTGACCTAATTTTAGAAATATATATGTTTACCCAAATAATGTTCTAGAGTTGTGTATTATATGTTAGCCTGACCATAAAGATAATTAGGGTGAAGCATCATCATTCTCCTTTATATGTTGTGCGGAGAGGCCACTCTTCAGCGTAAGTGTATGCATTAATTTAGTATGGTCCTACATTTGTGTACTCTAAGAGAACCCTAACAATTAAAAAAGCAGGCATACTTGAGTTGACATTACTTAGGCATACACTTGTGGATGCACACACCCACACACATAAACAAGGCTTATCATTTGATACTCTAAAATCCATGCACACCCATGCTAATTAGTTCATGACTAATATATTCTCTCAATGTGGAAGTGTTTTTCTCTTACACTCTGTCAAATATTTTATAAAAATAAATATTCATTATTAGTACAGGGTAGGTATCATCTATCTATCCTAATTCTATCCTAGATATTACTATCTATCCTAACATCATTAGCAATAAGGTTATGCATCAGGAAAAAATTAACGTTTTCAAAAAGTTAACAGTACCTATGTCTTCATAGTATTTATTACATTCAGAAATTTTAATTTACCTACCTTTCTTATCCATAGTTTCTAATCTTATGAAATAAGCATGCATTTGTTCTGTAGTAAGAAAAATAATTTTTATTCTGTTATTTAAATAAAATGTATATATACTCATAGTTGAGTAATAAAACTTTTCATCTAGATAAGTTTTTTAAAAATGTGTAATACATTAAATTAAATTTATTGTGAGTAGGAATTACCTACATTTATATATTTAAATAAATAGGTTTTTAATAAAATAACATTTACAGAGTTGCAGTCATTGTTGTATTAAGAGTTCTAAATACTTTTATGTATGTTAGGCTGACCTGAAAGATCCAGAATCGATCTGATTTTCCTTGATCTGTCCTCAAGATGCTGGATATATTTGGAAGTTAATTTTTACCATATTGGAAAGATGTAACCACTGACCACCCAGTGAATGGGTGTAAATACACCAGCTTCCTAATACTCTGTTTGTTATTACAGAGGCTTGTGTTTTGCATTTGCAGAGTTTCTCCTTGGATTATTCTCCAGATTCCACTACATAGTTGGCTTAATAGCCCACCTGTTACTGCTGCCTTTACTTTCCTGTATCATTGTTCCTCACCTACTCATTTTTTGGTCACTGCCCATGAATCAATAGAATGGAACCCTTAAATTAGAATCTGATTCTGACCCCCCAAATTATATCAATGTGAGGAGCTTCCTTTGGCTCTGACATTACTATCAGGTGAGGTATATCATAAACAAAATGATTTTGTTGTGAATTTAGAATATGTACACATAATATTACATATTTCTCTTATCTACATATAATTTTCAATAAAAAATGAGTAACTAAAATAACTAAATCATATTGTAAGGACTCCGTTTCTCTTTTTCTTTCAAGACTAAAGGAAAATTCTATGCATGGTTTTATTGGGGTGCCAATTATAGACCAGAAGTCCAACAGCTGCTTCTTGAGTAAATTACTAATATAGAAAGAGAAAGAAAACTGGTAGTTATTGAGCAGACACTGTTGGAGACACTGTTATCTTACTTCATATTGAAAACAAAGGCGAGGCTTAGCAATGGATAAAGGATTAGATCTCAGACTATCTGGAAACTTCATACTTCTGTGATATGCTGTTCCAAATCTGCTGAAACTAAAATGAAATCAGGTTGAGAATATTTTACTATAACTTTATATAATTCAGATTCTAGTTGTCTAAATATATATATGTATATATATGAAAATATGTAGAAACACAGCAGCAAACTTCCTCAGTTTTATGTGTCTGTATTCCTCATACATTACTACTTACAAGTTCCTCAAATAGTAATGTCTAATTTTTTTCTTCAAATAAAGCATTCTTAGATATCTGATATTTTAAGTCCTTATTTTTTTAAACCATAAAGACAAAATCACTACTTTTTCATGGTTGTGATATTTAGAAGTAGAGTTATTATCCAGTTAACATTTTAGGTGGCTTTACAGCAAAGCAGAGTTTATTTCAGTTATAAAATAGGGAGAACAGGTACTATGAAAACATTTTATATCTTTGCATGACATAAAAGCTCCATTCCATGAATAAAACTTTAGATTTTCTTCAAACATTAAAGTATTAGAGAATTTTTAGAATGATATTTTTAAGGCTTAAGGAGACATGACATTTTTCTACAAAAATTGAGGTAAAAGTTACTACCAGTTACTAAATTAGAAATAGAAATGCAAAGTTGTCCTCCTTTTTCTGCCAGCTCAGGGGAGAATCACATCACTAAGCTATCTTATTTAAAATGGCAACAGACATCAAAAATCTATTCTGAAGGTAATAGCAACATGATTACCAATTAGGATTTAGGAACTGCTGTTAAAATATTACTCTGATATTCAAAATTTGGATTAGAAAAAAATCTCACATGTATCATACATATTGTGCAATTTGAACTGAACTTTGGTGTATTCTTCCCATAAGCACAGCTACTATTTTCTACTTTAATAGAGGACTTCTGTGATTAGTCACCGAATATGAATTGAAACTACTAAACATGTTTCTTTCAATCCTTTCTGAATTGCAAGGAACCTGTGTCTTAAGTTGGAGGACATCACTCAGTGCTACATAGAACACTATTGTTGGTTAATTAAATATTCAGTAATCTAAAACTATCTATATAACCTCGCAACCTTGGCTCCTGGAAATCTTTCATTTCCCTTGAAAATTTCCTGTTATTAAATAAGGGAAGTTTAAACGTTCTAGACTTTTTTTTTTTTTTTTTTTTTTTTTTTTTTTTTTTGAGACGGAGTCTCGCTCTGTCACCCAGGCTGGAGTGCAGTGGCACGATCTCGGCTCACTGCAAGCTGCACCTCCCAGGTTCAAGTGATTCTCCTGCCTCAGCCTCCTGAGTAGCTGAGATTACAGGTGCACGCCACTATGCCCGGCTAATTTTTATATTTTTAGTAGAGACGGGGTTTCACCATGTTGGTCAGGCTGGTCTCGAACTCCTGACATCGTAATCCACCTGCCTCAGCCTCCCAAAGTGCTGGATTACAGGCGTGAGCAACCGTGCCCTGCCTAAAGGTTCTAGACTTTTAAAATAAGAAAACAGCCAATCAAATAAACTAAATAAAAGCCTAGACAAAATCAACTGGGTTTACAATTCATAAAAACATACAGCCAAATATCAATTTGATTGGGGGTGAAAAAAATAATAAACTTAGTCCTTACAACATCACTTGTATCTTTGCTAAGTTTAATTCTAATGTAGTAATGGGGACACTGGAAAGGCTTTAGTTTTCCTTTAATACTTCAAGATCCACATAACTTCTGCCCCTTTTTGTATGTCACCTGGAGCCTTCCACTTCTCATGCAATCTAGTTAAAGAGTTAGGGTCTTGTGACAATAGGAATTTAAATGACATTTGTTGGTCCAAGGATAGACAGTTTACTGTATGAGCAAGAATAGCCATGTGCTGGATTCTGTGGGGTTTTATTAAGGGCTTGCTTATTCACACCTGTCTTA
The DNA here is from genome assembly GCF_000001405.40 of Homo sapiens. Lineage (NCBI taxonomy): Eukaryota > Metazoa > Chordata > Mammalia > Primates > Hominidae > Homo > Homo sapiens. The sequence continues at coordinate 65,878,858 of NC_000006.12, forward strand.
TTTTAACTGTAAACATTTAGGAAACAGAAGTATCTTCACAAACAGATATTGATCTCCATAGGCCAAGTTTACACTCAGTTATAATGCATCAGTGCTTCAGTATGTTTGTCCTAATATAGTTGAAAACACAGTTCTCCACACATTTGAGTTTGCATTATATGAGGAGTGCTTCCTATTTTTTTGTTAGTTTGTGTTCTATAAATAAAAAGGCATTGGAAGTACACAATTCTTCATTCCTTTAGGTTTCTTTTTGCTGAATGTCAGTTGGTCTCCATGCCTCACAAAAGGGCCACAAACATATTCATCACACATACACACAACACTCAGAGTGTGTTCTCAACAATCATACAGGGTGATGTTCACATTTGAATAATAACATAAGTTAAAGGATTGATTCACTTATGAGTTTACTCACTTGGAATTTTAGTACTGGAATGGTCCATAGTAAATTTGAAACCCTGACATTTTTTAAAAGTAAAAGCTACTTTCCTTTCTTTCATGTTATCTACATTTCTCTTTTATGTTATAAATGTATTTGCAGATAGCATAAGCCATAAGAAAATTCATGTAAAATTAAATACATTTAAAACTAGGTTAAAATAATAAAACAAAAAAAATGCAGGAAAGCAAGATATAACAACCAATATTAGGTTACATATATACATATTTTCAATCTTTTATACACTTCATACTGGGTAAAAAAATTTTATTATGTTTTCCGTTAGCCAATATGAAGACAGAAATAGTTACAGATTTCACAAGTTTCATAAGACAACAAAACAGATACTCAGGAGAACAATTATTATAAGCATTGAGGCCAGGTCAATGTTTCATTGAAACGTTTTCAACATGAGAACACTATGTAATGTAATTAATTAATTTCCTCAAAATAATCCAGCTAGTAAAAATGCCTGGGGGACTCATAAGGCTACTTCTTGTTAGAACACAAATTACAAGTTTGCCTTGGAATATCTGTAGAGAGTAAAGAGTCTAATAATTAGAACCATACTTGTTAGTGAATGCAAGAGTGAAATCTTAGAGTGGTGGTTCCCTATACTTCTCAAGAGTATACTTCTCAGGTTGAACATATATTAGACTGGTATTTCTCAACTTTTTTTCATTGTTATCCATTTAAGGAGAGAATTTGATATTTTTCTAAGTTTTTCCTAATTGTCCCTCCCCTAAAGAAAATTTTAATAGCATAGAATGCTGTATATCTCTTTAGGTGTTGCATATGTATCTCTGCTTTATACATAAAAGAGTACTCTTGTTTGCTCCCCATGCCCCAAAACCAATTTTTCATCTATTGTAGGCAATATCACATCCCACTGAGGAAGCACGTGCTAAGGAAACAGACGTTTCTCTTGCAAATATTAATTCTTCATGATATAATTTCCACACTTTATTAGCTCCACTCCCAGATCCATAGACCCAAAGAGTAAGAAAAAAAGAAAGTGAAATGTATCTGTTACTACCATACATACAACAACTTGGTAAAACACAATTTAGTAAAGACTATCCAACAGCAGATCAATTAAGCACTACTTGTTCATGTACCCATTTCTCTTATAATCTATTTCAGGAGATTTTTGAATATGTAAAGAAATTCCATAGTCTTCTCAACTACTTTTCAAAATGTGTTAGCAATGGTAAGTTCAATATTGTACTAACAAATTACTGGTGTGAAGCTAGGTAATCTATATTGGAGTAAAATGCAGAGATTTCATGTATTATAATGAGGGGTTAGGCAGATGGTTTTTCTTTATTTCTTTTTAATCCTTCTGAAAATTGAGTTTAACAATGGACCCATAGAGGAAAATCAGGGCCCCTGGCCAATCTTTTGGATCTGGAATTGTAAAATATCTAAAACAAGTTCCTTCTGAAGCCATTGATTTCTTGCACAATAAATATATCCTTTAATGGAAATGGTCGGGTGGTCTCCATTTTATAATCCCTATATTCCACACAAGTTTGTCTGTGGAATAAAGGACACACACACACACACACACGATTTGTTTTTTTTAACATTTCATTTTGCTGCTTAATTTTACATGCTAAATTAAAAAAGAAAAAGAAAATTGATTTTTTCAAAATTAATTTTTGCCTTAGACTCCAATCTCTAAGGATTTTATATTTTGGTATTTATTTTTATGGGTTAAATGTAACCTTGATCAAGTCCACTTCAGGGTCTCTGTCTATTCTTCACGAAAGGCATGGTGTATACGGTCATTTTGTTCATCTAAATTCTCCCATAGGCTTTGAATATGTGAAATGTGCCAGGAAATGAATTGAGAGGAGGAATTTGAAGTAAGTAAACTTGTATGAATAATAAAATTAGAAAAATTATTAGTTGTCTGGGTAACTATATTTTAACAGGGTGGGGAAAAGGAGAGTTAGAGGAAGAAAACGTTTCGACTAGATTTAAAGATGGAGAAAGATATGCACTGTGTGATTTAATATACAAAGATCTCTGGTAGCTTAGTGGTCAAAATAAATTTGGAGCTGTTATTACATTTTAAACTGTTTATATTAATTTAACATAAACCATCTTCATTTATCCAACTTAATAAAGTCTGTTGAACATTCAAAACTACTCACAGAAAAATCAGTTATAGTGGACTGTTTAATTCCTTCATTTTAAGCCAAAATCAACAAAGAAAAAGGTAAATGGCCTGAGTTTCAAAACGAGTGAGATGATCCATAACCTGAAATAATTTTATCAAAATCAATGCTTAACCTCAGGGTTAGGGAAGTCAACTTCAGCTTGATGTTCTCTCTCAAATATTTTTCAAGTCTTGGATAAGAAGTAGGCATTTGCTTTAAAGGTATATCCTATGTAGTAAAGTGAGTATATTTAAAGTGCCATACATTTGCAAAATACAGCCATCAACAATTCTTATTGGTGCTAACTCCAAAAGCTCAATTATGTTCACATTTTTTGTCTGGTCTTTTATTCCAAATCACCATCGACTTTACTGAATGGTTTGTTATAACAATTTTTAACTTATAATTGTTTTCTAAAATGTAAAATAGATTGTATTAACCACTTTTTGGAAAAGCATTTTAGAGCTTTTCATTGAGTTTGTAATACAAGCTAAAGTCACCATGGCCCTGCATGTTAGGACACTGCCTATCTTTCCAACTCCATCCCACATGCATCTTCTCATGCTTACAATGCTCTAACTACAGTGTTGTTCAAACTTACCATGCTCCTTTCTACTCCATCACTTTTGCAGTTTTTGCCTCAAAGAATGTACTTCCTCAAGAACTTAGTGGTTGGTTCTTTTTCATCTTTTAGAATCCTGCCCAAGTCTAAATACTATCTAAAATACTTTCTGCTCATCAGTTACTCTCTATTGTATAATCCTTTTAATTTCACTTTTCTTATATTTTATGTTTTGTGCATTTCTGTATATGTTTATAGCCTCTCACCTCCTTTAGAGGTACCCAAGTCTTGACTGTCTTATGCATAATTGTAACCTATAACATAGGGAGTTGCTTAACACCCAAAGATTAATCAAAATGTAATTATTCAGTTAATAAGTATTATCTAATATATTGATAATATAAACAGCCAAATAATATGTAAAAACATTTTTGTTTTGGTTTGCTTGTGTCAAACCAAATAATAGTGTTTGAATAAAATAAATCTAAATCAAGAATATAATTTTTTTTCTAGATATCTATTTCTGATTGTTTAAAAAGGTAAAAGTCCCTGATGGCCTCTAGAATTTACAATACAGTTGCTTGTAATATGTAGTCAAGGAAATTTGATTTTTCTCGTAGCTCTTACTCTAACAAAAATGTTAATATTTCACATCTCATTTTTCATCCAAGACTTTCACTTTTTTTTTTCATTTGGAAGCAATGTTATACTTGTTTTAAGCATTTAAGCCACCCTACCTCAGATGCCAATCGTATCTTTTAAAAATTTCATTAATTAATTAATTAATTCTTTGAGACAGAGTTTCACTCTGTCACCCAGGCTAGGATGCAGTGTTGCAGTGAAGGCTTACTGCAGCCTCAACCTCCTAAGCTCAAGCGATCCTTCCTCCTCAGCTTCCTGAGTAGCTGGGACCACAATGTGCACCACCACACCCAATTAATTTTTTGTTTTTTGTATTGACAAGGTCTCACCATGTTCCTCAGGCTGGTCTCAAACTCCTAGGCTCAAGTGATCCTCCCTCCTTGGACTCCCAAAGTGAGATTACATGCCTGAGATTACAGGCATAAGCCATTGCACTTGGCTCTCAATCATATATGTGTGCTATTCCAAAGTTAAGATTTAGTTCTCTTAGTTTGAACCAGTTGTGAGGAGCAAAGTATGCTTTCCTTGGTTTGCCCTCCAAACTTTCAAACCCATAGATCACAGATTGAAAGAGCTGAAATTAAACAGCTAAAGCAGCTTTTTCTATACTAGCATTCTTCCATCTAAGTTATGATTTAAGAGATTTTTCCCAAAGACAGAGGAATCTAGATGAACTTTTCAAATCCAAAGAGCTCATATAGCACATATTTTATACATGCAGAGAATCATTTGTGCTATTTTAGTTAAACTTAGAATGTTGGGAATATTGACATGGATCTTACCAGATAAAAGTATAAATGCAGTGAATACTCTGCTTGGTGTATCAGTCAAAGTAATGAAAATCAGTCTGACACAAATTACTAATCTCTCCATATGTGATATGAGGGTCAGAAAGCTCATGTTTTATGGCTGAATTGATACGTTTTGCCAATATAAATGTCTCTCAGTAAATGTCTCACATATTTTTCAAGGACCAGTAGGTTTGACACCTTGAACAAATGTAAGATGAAGTATAACATGTTGAAATGATACCAACTTAATCTCATCCTATCAGCACACAATCCATCACCCAGTAGACTATGAGCCTGAATAAAATATTTTTAAATAAATCTATATCTCACAAGCAAGCTGTCTCAACTTATAGCTATATATCAAAGTCTAACAAATACAGTTTTCCACTAACTTGATAAATACTGAGAAAGGCAAGAATAATTATTTTATAATACTAAAATTAAACTCTAAGAAAGTTTACTTAAATATTTTATATTATATGGAAAATTAGGTGCAGATGTCAAGTATGTGTATTTTTCTTTATTTTTAGTTCAAAAATTATAATTGTGTATACTTGCTGAGTACAGTGTGATGTTTTGATCTCTGTAGGCTTCACAGAATGATTTAATCAAGCAAATTCACGTATTTGCTTACCAACTTATTTTTTTGTGGTGAGAATGCTAAAAATCTATTTTTTAACAATATAAAATATACAACAGTATTATTAACTGTGGTCACTATGCAGTGCAATATATGTGTGTTTTAAATTTGTCTTTGTTTCACAAGAACTGAAAGAACAGACTCATCACTGCATAATGATGTTTTGTATATGCCTGTATTCACTAATAAATGTAAAGTTTAATGATATTTTTACACAAATTTCTACATAAAAGTTTCAGTATGCCATTAATAAGCCTGATTAAATTAGGTTGTACATCTAGGCAGTCAAGGCTGTTATGACTGAGAACATGGAATTTTCATGTTAAATTTTCTGAAACTCTAAATTCTCTGAAACTACTAAATGACAATTATCTGCAAAATATAAGCCATAATTATACTCAATAATCATCAATAGATAAATAATTATCTCACATGGAATCATTTTTTAATCTCAAATTGTCACCATGGATTACATTTTGTTTCTTGACCCACTGACCCTACTAACAAGAGACATTTTTATTTTTATTATAGGACCTTTTATATTTAATAGATGTTGCTATAGTTGATCTGCAAATGTATTGAAAGTGCTTAGATATCAAATTTGAACATAGCTATCTTTATATTCATTGCCACATGTATCAAGAAAAACAGCAAGGGTATTGCTTAGATTTTTAAAACAGATTTTGAAAGAATCTAAACATATTTTCACACACTGTTTCTGTTTTGTTTGCTTTTATAATTACCAGGAGTTATATTTTAGTTGAAATATTATAAAGAAATAAAGAAAGTAGCTTGCAAGCCAAATATTTCCACAGAGAATAGAAATTCAATTATTTTTTGAAAAAGAAAACTGTCAATGAACATACTAGCCAATTTACAGGCATAAACAACTGAAAAAAAAGTGAGCTTAAAGTGGACATTGGGACTATCAGGATGTAACATTGAGTTACATGTTATTTGCTCTTTTCTCAAAAGAGAAAAACACAATATTTTTAAAAGATTGGAATTAAAGATTTTCTGTTACTTTAACAGCACAGGGAATGCTATAAGAAATCGGAGGTTACATACGTGTGCATGTGTCTTTATAGCAGCATGATTTATAGTCATTTGGGTATATACCCAGTAATGGGATGGCTGGGTCAAATGGTATTTCTAGTTCTAGATCCCTGAGGAATTGCCACATTGACTTCCACAATGGTTGAACTAGTTTACAGTCCCACCAACAGTGTAAAAGTGTTCCTATTTCTCCACATCCTCTCCAGCACCTGTTGTTTCCTGACTTTTTAATGATTGCCATTCTAACTGGTGTGAGATGATATCTCATAGTGGTTTTGATTTGCATTTCTCTGATGGCCAGTGATGATGAGCATTTTTTCATGTGTTGCGGCATTATTCACAATAGCAAAGACTTGGAACCAACCCAAATGTCCAACAATGATAGACTGGATTAAGAAAATGTGGCACATATACACCATGGAATACTATGCAGCCATAAAAAATGATGAGTTCATGTCCTTTGTAGGGACATGGATGAAATTGGAAACCATCATTCTCAGTAAACTATCGCAAGAACAAAAAACCAAATACCGCATATTCTCACTCATAGGTGGGAATTGAACAATGAGATCACATGGACACAGGAAGGGGAATATCACACTCTGGGGACTGTGGTGGGGAGGGGGGAGGGGGGAGGGATAGCATTGGGAGATATACCTAATGCTAGATGACGAGTTAGTGGGTGCAGCGCACCAGCATGGCACATGTATACATATGTAACTAACCTGCACAATGTGCACATGTACCCTAAAACTTAAAGTATAATTAAAAAAAAAAAAAAAAAAAAGAAATCGGAGGTTACAACTGATCCTACACCACACATAGGGGATACTGAAGTGGTTTTCCTACCAGGTGTACTACAAGTCAGCCACAGATTCTCTTTCAGTACGCCTGAGAATAACTTCACTGCCTCCTGGGTAACACAAGAAAATATGACAGAATTAGTTTGAATGCACTGAAATAATTTTAGGTGAATTATTAGCCCCTTTTTCTCATATCTGTGGTCAGAAATATGAAGGTTGTAGATTTTGCAATGAATTCGCTTTTTCTGTTTGCCTCAATTGAGTCTTGCTTTATGAGGGAAATCAGAATCATACACAATGTTTATGTCCCCCAACAGATTCTAACCATTCTACCCAAGAATATTACATATGTTGATATATGAATAGAAGAATAGGAATATAAATGATGATATATGTGAAGAGAATACAAAACAAAGAAAGAAAAGAGAGAAGTTGAATGTTAGAAATAAAAATCCAAAGGAGGCTCTAAAGGTATGTCCTTCATCTCAATAATAAAGAACTAGCATTAAAATAATTAAATGAAAATTTAGTATACTCTTAATTGATTTGCAAACCAATGCATTGATTTTACTTCTCTCTGTTTATTTATTAATTATCACTTGATTACTTCTTTTATTCATATCTACTCAATAATTAGCCATAAAATTCCTAAGATTTGCATTTGGTAATTTTATGAGATAAAGAAGTAACTTTGGTATGATGAAGAATTAGAAATAAAGGTAACTTTGGTATGATGAAGAATTAGAAAAGTGAGCAAAAGATAAGAATAATGTAATTAGAAACAATCTGCAATCTGAAAGAGAATAATCTTAACATAGTGTTCTGAAAAGTTAGAGTTGCCAAAGTCAAAGAGAAGTTTAAAGAGTTTTAAAGTTTTATCCTGGACTAAAAATGTACTAAAAAGTATTCACAATTTTACTCCAGTTACCAGACCTATTCCTAAAGTAGAAATGACCCTAATATCCCAGAAACTTAGAGCAAATCAAAACCTGTTGACTGAAAAAACATGCCATTATCAATTCTATGGAAAACAGGATATGACATCAAAACTGACTCTGAGAGAACAAACTGTGGCCAGATTTTATAAGCTCCTATATTATATTGCTCACTTGGTGTTAGAAGTGGTCTTGGTTATTTTATTATTATTATTATTATTATTATTATTATTATTATTATTATTTTGAGACGAAGTCTTGCTCTGTTGCCCAGACTAGAGTGCAGTGGCATGATCTTGGCTCACTGCAACCTCCACCTTCCAGGTTCAAGCGATTCTCCTGCCTCAGCCTCCCAAGTAGCTGGGACTACAGGCGCATGCCACACCACGCCCGGCTAGATTTTTGTATTTTTTTTAGTAGAGACAGGGTTTCACCGTGTTAGCCAGGATGGTCTCCATCTCCTGACCTTGTGATCCACCTGCCTCAGCCTCCCAAAGTGCTGGGATACAGGCGTGATCCACCACACCCGGCCAGAAGTGGTCTTGGTTATCAACATGGTTACAGATAAAGCATAATGGTCAATATGACCAGGTTCTCTTATAATCTGTCACAAGTGATCTACAATACATTATTGTCATTTGAATCGTTTTTTATGTCAGTTTTTTCTTCTATTAAATATGAAAAATAGAAAAGTAATTATTTAACACTTAGTAGAAACACCACAAAGAAATGCAACAGGAACTACATGTAAACTAAAGATTGTTTAAAGCCTTTTACAAAAATTCAGAGAATAAAATGAGTGATACATTTAAGTGTTTTAATCTCACCTGAGAGCTCACTCTAATTCACCTTTAAATAAGTCTTTGAGCATTAATATATTTTAAGTTTTATTTATCACTTTATTTATATAATCAAACCAAAGAAAATAAATCAAAATAAATCCTGCTGATTCTGAAATTTTTAGATTTCTTTCCAAAAATCAGATAAGTTTAAGTTTTATGTTTGGATTATCTTGCTAGCACCATAATAAATATGTTTAAACAATGTTTATAGGATATATTTTAATCTCAACTTATCAATTATAACACAGTGATAAATAACCATCTGATAAAATAGATCATTTGAAAGCTTTGTAATAGTTAAACATATTTGACTCTATTTAGACTCAAGATTGGCAAACATAAATGAAGAGCAGAGAAATGAGAACAAGAAAAGGCTACTTATTCAGAGCTTGCTATAGCAGGGAAATCACTTGATTTTGATATATAGCAGAATAAAAAAAGAAGGTCTCAGGTATGCTGTTGACATAGACAAGTTGCAGGCAGGCTAGCAGAAGTGGGGCATCTCTGTAATTGGGTTCCTCTGATTAGTCCTGTTTTAAATAACAGCAAATATTAGGGAAGCTGACAAGTATTAAGAGCTTATTGTTATAAGGGTTATTGTTTGTCTTCCTAAATTGGTTGTCCGAGAGAATCGTCTGACTTCTTGGACTAGTTACTATAGACAGTAGGTTAGCTTTTGTGGATGGTTTCTGGAGATAGGATGTTGGCTTCCTGGGCTAATTGCTGCAGGTTGTGGGTGTGGATTCTATTTTTACATACAGTCTTGCGCTTATCCATTTATATATTCAGTCACACATTAGATATTTATGTGCACCTTACTTCCATTGCAATGTACTTTTTTACAGAATGAAGAAGCATTAGACTATGTGAAATTTATATCATTTGAAAAAATTCCAAATATAATTATAAGCATTAAATGTTTTCCTTGAGTCTCCAAGTCATTTCAATTAGTATTTAATTTTGTTAATAGCAATATTCAGAAAATCTAACTTCAAGATTAATTTTCACAAAGTTCATATAGGCTTTGAAAGAGTTAAAGAGATGTCTTCATTCTTAATAAAAACTTAATATACAGCACTATAACTTTATTGAAAAAATAGATTAATGAAACAGACAAGATTTAAGCATTTTTAAAATAATTTGATTAACTTACATGTTTTCAAAGTTTGTATAAATCATTGCAGACATTAGAAATTTATTCATATTCCTTATTCATTCTTGCAGTCATTTCATATATAATCATAATAAACAAATAGATTCTGAGCAGTTACAAAATGTTAGGCACTTAACTAAATACCAATGTAGAGTGAGAAACAGTATGTAGGATAATAAAGACCTTGGATCCTGGAACCAGATTGGTATGATTTTGAAGAGACTGGGCAAGATTATTTAAATAATTTATTACTCAGTTTCAGCATCTGTAAAACGAGGAAACCTTATTTTGTTGTTTTGTTACTTAAATAACATATACTAGATATTATATCTAACACTTAGATAACTGCATAACGAGATTAAGCTTTATTCATTTTTTATTTAACTTTTATTTTAAGTTCAGAAGTACATGTGCAGGTTTGTTATATAGGTACATTTATGTCATGGGGCGCTTTTTTGCAAAGATTATTTCATCACTCAGGTATTAAGCCTAGTACCCACTAGATACTTTTCCTGTTCATCTCCCTCCTCCAAAATTCCACCCTCTGACAGGCCTCAGTGTGTGTCATGCCCTCTGTGTGTCTACGCGTTCTCATCACTTAGCTCCTTCTTATAAGTGATAACATGCAATATTTGGTCTTCTACTCCTGCATTAGTTTGCTAAGGATAATGGCCTTGAGCTCCATCCATGTCTCTGTAAAGGACATAATATCTGTTATATGGTTGTATAGTATTCCATGGTGTATAAGGTTTAAGTATTTTTTCAGGATCCTAGAAATCTCGTGGATGTTTTTAAGCACCAGTATGTTATAAAAACAAGACAGTTGACAAAGTTTGAAGAATATCAATTTCCTTTATAAGATAGTTATCAAAGAGTCTGATGAAGATGAGCATATTTCATTCCAAATGAAACAGTTGAAATGCTGACTAGAAAAAAACATCCCAATGGAAGTAAAATAGAATAAAAAAGGATATGAGGGATACATGTTAGAATTAATCAGTATGACTTTCAGTTCTAGTTAAGGGTGTATTTAAATATATTTGTGAATAAAAAACTCATTTTAATCTCAATGAACTGGAAGAAAATATATCAATATTTAGCTTTTAGAACAATTTTTAAGTGAAAATTCCTCTCAATTATTATTACATTTTCTCTATGTAGATTGATCAGTATAAATATTTCTATATAAATTTTACATTAATATATTAATGTAATACATCAATAAAATTAATACATTAATTTTCAACTCATTACATTTAACTAAAATATAGTTAAAATTGGGAACAAATTTTATTTTTTTGTCAATTTATAATGATCAGATTGAGTGATCAGATTGAGTAATCATCATTGACAAAAATTCTATAGATAATAACTTCATTTTGTGAATGGCTTATTTTCTTGGCAGTTATTTTACTAATACTTTATGTATTTTGAAACATTTTCTGCCATATTTAATGCTTTAAATTTATTTTCATTAGTGTATTTCTGTAAGTTGAGCTTCTAGAATTGCGAGTTAACTGCAAATAATAAAATTATTGGAAGTTTTGTTTTTCTTTTCAACCACATTTCATGTCCATGGTTCACTTAGTATGGAAAATGAGAGACAAATATAAAACAGAATAACATTGAATTTTTCAGTGTTAACTTTGAAATCATTTTATTGTCTGAAATGTCAATAATATTCACTTTCCAACTATTTCAATTACATATATAATATAAAATAGGAGTAAATATTTGAAAATAAAATATTCTTTCCTCTTACTAGATATCTATTAAAATTGAACTCCTGAATTTTAATTATACTTAAAATATATAATAAAATGATTTTAATTATTATAGAGTATATTACCATAAGTGATTTTCATAATATTGATTTAGCTGCTCTATTTAATGACAATATTGGAAAAGCTTACAATGAATAATGAATTGAATAATAATTACTTCTTTTATGGGGTTAAATTATATGTAGAATCTGTAAAACTCCAACCATTGTCAAATGCATTGGGTGCTAGATTTTAATAGACTCTATATAAAAATTTTAGAGAGTTTGTCATCTCTAATGCTTCATCACCAGTCCAGCTGCCTTTTAGACATCTCATAAGGAGATGTTTAAATGAAGAACTCATAAGGACTTCATTGGTATACATTATAACAACTAAACTCACATTGATCCAGAAATAAAAAAGAATCCAATGACTAATGCAACTTAAAAGCCCAAGGATAAAATTAACTTCAGGCTTAGCTGGATCCAGGAAATTAAATATATTATTAGTTCAGTTTCTTCATCTCTGTGTTGGCTTTATTCTCAGGCAAGTTATTTTTATATGGTGACCCCCCCCCCATTAATGCTATGTTAATATCTTACCTCTTTACCTTGGAAAACAGAATTGTATTTTCTCAGTAGTTAAAAAAAAATCACTTAAACGTATTGAGTCAGTTATCCATCCATGAAGCAATCTTTATGATTCATAGGTTAGAAAATGTAATTGTCCAAGACTAGGTAATAGGACCACCAGAAAGCTGCTCTGTGTGTAGCAAGTGGTGGAGTTGTCGTTAAATCACGTGAAGTGACTGGGGCATCAGTGGCTTAGGTTAGCAAGATATTAATATGAACCATATATGGAAGGACAAAAATCTGACTGGAACACAATTTTTGTAATGGAGTAATTTATGTTATTTTATGTAAAGTAATTTTGCATTTTAAATTTAATAATGTCTTCAAACCTTTATGATGGTAAACCCATGCTAATATTTTATAATATATAAATTAAACACTTTAGGCTTTAATAGAAACAAAAATAAATAAATATAGACAATATATTCATATTTATATAGACAATATATATAGACAATGTATTTATTGTCTATATTTCAAAGGCAGATTAAAGTTTCAACAATTCTAGGATAAATACTATCAATATTATGTCATGGGAATTCAATGATTGTGTATTACATTATACAAAGTTTTCTGTTTTTTACTCACAGCCAAGAAAATGAATTTTCTCACCATAATTCAGTAGTGGGTATAATGTTCATTATGCCAAATTAGAATCTATTATGAACTAAAGAGAAATAACAAAAAGTTAAATGCAATAAACAAAAACAACTAAGAATCATGACATTATTTTTCAAGATTCAACATAACTCCTTTTGCTTTGAAAAATGTTTTCTATGAGTTTCAAGACAAAGATTTACATTTGTGCATGTATATGAGAGCTGAATATGTTAATTTATCGTACTTTTTCTGTAACTGGTTACTTAGAAAATACAAGAACTCTTTTAATATGGTTGAAAAAGCGGACCTAAATCAGAGAAATGATGAAATGGTATCTAGGCAGGACCCAGTGATCCAATATAAACCAGAGGCAGGAAATTAGAAAAAGAAGGGCAACTAGAAGAATATTTTAAATTTAATATTTAAAGATTAGATAAATAGATATTTGTAATACTATAAGAGTACAGAAAATCATTACTATAAAACGTTGTTGTATTTTCTATGTCATAGCTCTTAAATTATTTTCTTCCAATGATGACTATTTACTATATATATTATATACATACATTTAATGTCATGATACAAGTTAAAACAATAAAATTTGTGATAAATTATTTTAAAATAAGCCAACTTCCATATAAATGACTTATATTAATCATGTATGCTCTGGCTCACTACTCTGATTGTCTTTCTTCATTAACTGTGTATAGATTATATACTATACTATGTAATGACTATTGCAGAGGCCATCACTAGTGGTCACCAGGATTTTGACTCTTCATTCTGGCCACACAGTGTCTTGAAGTCAGCTGTGAATATGTGATTTGTTTCATGGTCATTGCAATGTGAACAAAAGTAGTGTGTGCCACTTGGAGGTGGAAGCTCTTGATACCTGATAAGTGATCCTTCATGCTCTCTTACCCAGTTGTGATGAATCCTGAAACCTTGTACTGCAATGCCAGCATCTTCCATCACTCCTAGTGATGACGATAAATTGACCTCTCCTTTAGGTCTGGACTGGACTTGTGGAATGAATAGGTAATGAACCTTCATTGCTTTAAGCCGTTGAGAATTTGGGATTGTTTGTTACAAAAAAGAATTTTAATTTTTTCTAATACAACTATGGATGGTTTATCTGGTAGTTTTATTATTAAATTTATTGGGTGATTAGCTTAGTTTTGCACAGAAACTTCAAAGATAGAGCTGAAGATATGTAAATAAATAATTGTATTACAGTTATTAAAGTAAGAGATATAAGAACACATTCTCAACATTCACAAAACTTGTAGTCTAGTGAGTGCTGGATTGCAATGAGATAACTGTTGTAAGTACAAGTGAGATGAGAGAGAGTACAAAAAAAAGTAATTATACTGGGAAGAAAATTTTATAAGGAACTTACCATTTTAACTGGGACTTGAAGGACAAGGATACCAATACTAATAAATCCTAAGAGACTTTATTGTTATATCAATATAAAATATGAGCTCATTGTTCCCTTTCAACCACTTAAATTGCAAATTTTTTTGTATATATAACCTTATAAATCATGTTTGAAATTACTACAATTTTTGCACTTTGAATAGTACTTAATAAAAGTGGTACAGAAATTGCAGAATATATATTACATTGCATTTGCCATTTATATGTATCAAAGAAGATAGTGACTCATATGTACATTAAGAGAAACACATTTCAAAACCTGAATATAATTCATTTTTTTTTCAGATTGTTCACCTCTAAGATTCCTAAGGGAAACAATTTTTCCGTTGCTGTTTGACTTTTTAAAATACTAGGGATTACTCAGAATGTTGATTACTGAATAGCAGGACAGATATATTGCAAAGTATTAAGTAATGTTTAGGAAAAGATTAGTTGGGGATTTAGCATTCAAAGGTAATGTGGCATCAATATAATGTAGAGATCTTGAGATATTTCTATATGGAACTCAGTGATTCTGAATAGTTTGAGTAGGATTGAGTAATGATAAATTAGTCGAATTTTAATTGATATTCATTTAAATATAATATGTTGGAGATCAGGTAAGTTCATGCATGAGAGTGAATAGGGGTTTTGCATTTATGGCTTAGTCAAAGTGGCATCTCGTCATGAAATAATATAAATAATATTTATTTACTTTCACATTCTCTATCAGAAAGATTGACCTTTTTTTGCTTATAATCATATCACCTGAGGAATGCAGCTGCCTCCAGTAAAATTCACCATCAGGTCTTTCAATGGTTTTAAACAGTTGTACACAAATTATTTGATGCATCTACCTTCAAGACATGAAGTTTTGTTTTTATCCCTGTGAGTATGAGCTGGACTTAGTGGCATGTGTTTGGTGAATAGAATACAGCGAACATGATACAATTTCACTTCTGAAATTAGATTTTGCCACCACTGTGCCTTCCACCTTAAGTGTTCTCTAGCACACTCTCAAATCCTTAGCTGCCATATGATAAAAATACTTGAATAATCTATGGAAAAACTTACATGGCAAAGAATTAAGGCTGTAACAACCATGTTAGTAAGTTTGGAATTACATATTCTAAGACCTTCTAATAGCCACGTGAATGAGCTTATAAGCAGATCCTCCAGCCTGAATCAAGCCCTGCGATATTAATAAATTCAACCCAGGACCACAGCTTGTCTATGGCTTTTTGAGCTATCCTGAGCCAAATATACCCAGCTAAGCCATTCCCAGATTCCTGAATCACATAGCTTGTGAAATACTAAGTCTTTGTTGTTTTAAGCCATAAATTTGAGATAATTTGTCATGCAGCAATACATGCAATACATGACCAATACAGATCTCATAGAGTTTTAACTGCCATATAAAACACACCTATGACTAAAATGAACTTTAGAAGATCCCTGGTTATGACCATTTTAGGATAGTTCCAACTGAACCCTGGTTCATTGTAGATGCTGTAGTCATCCCTGAGGAAATTGTAATATGGGGATTAGGTTAGAAATTTCTTCTGCTTTGCTACCTTCAAGCATAGCATACATATTTCTATTTGTTTTGCACATTGTAATTTTAAATAAGCCTGTGTGTAAAAAACTAGAGTTGAAAACCTTACTCTGTTCATTTTAAAGATGAGGAAAGAGGTATTCCAGAAAGTTTAAGTGGTTTACTTATTGTTATTACATAATTATATTTATCAGAACTGAATCCAAAATGCAGGTTCACTGCTTACCCAGGTATGTTTGTTCAACATAAAACTGAAATTACCACATTTTCTTAAATGTTATGTACAAATGATCAAGTTGTGCTCTACCATTTGTCAACTTTAAACAGCAAGCATTAGATATTTTCAATAAGAAACTATTTTCTCTCATCATTTATGGGCTACTGTGATAAGAACAGCAAGGGATCTGTATTAGCCCATTTGAGGTTTAATTGACTCACAGTTCTTCATGGCTGAGAAGGCCTCAGGAAACTTAACAGTTACAGCAGAAGGTAAAGGGGAAGCAAGGCACGTCTTACATGGTGGCAGGAGAGAGAGCGAAAGAGAAAGAGAGAGAGAGAGAGAAGGAGTAGAAGAAAAAGAACTGCCAAACACTTTTAAACAATCAGATCTCATGAGAACTCACTTGCTTTCATGAGAACAGCATGAGGGAAACTGTCCTCATGATTCAATCACCTCCCACCAGGTCCCTCCTTTGCCACATGGGAATTACAATTCAAGATGAGATTTGGGTACAGACACAGAGCCAGACCATATCATTCCACCCCTGGCCCCGACCAAATCTCATGTCCTCTTACATTTCAAAACCAATCGTGCCTTCCCAACCAGTACCCCAAACTCTTAATTCATTTCAGCATTATCTCAGAAGTCTGCAATCCAAACTCTCATGTGAGACAAGGCAAGTCCCTTCCACCTAGGAACCTGTAAAATCAAAAGCAAGTTAGTAACTTCCAAGATACAATGGGTGTATAGGCATTGGATAAGTGCTCCCATTCCAAATGGGATAAATTGGCCAATATGAAGGAGCTACTGGCTTCATGAAATTCCAAAATCCAGTGGGTCAGCAATTAAATCTTAAAGCTCCAAAATGACCTCCTTTGATTCCATGTCTCACACTTAGGCATGCTGATACAAGGGGTGGGCTCCCAAGGACTTGGGCAGCTCTGCCTCTGTGGCTCTTCAGGGTACATACCCCATGACTGCTTTCACAGGCTGGCATTGAGTGTCTGCTGTTTTTCCAAGTGCACAGTGCAAGCTGTCAATGGATCTACCTTTCTGGTGTATGGAGGATGGTGGCCATCTTCTCACAGCTCCACTAGGCACTGCCCCAATGGGCACTCAGTGTTGGGGCTCCAACCACACATTTCTCCTCTGTATTGCCCTAGTAGAGGTTTTCCATGAGGGCTCTGCCCCTGCAGCAGACTTCTGCTTGGATATTGAGGCCTTTCCATACATCCTCTGAAATCTAAGCAGAAGTTCCCAAAGATCACCTCTTGTCTTTTGCATGCCCACAGGCCCAGCACCACTTGGAAGTTGCCAGTGCTTGGGGCTTGTACCCTCTGAAGCAACGACCTGAGCTGCACTTTTGCTTGTTTGAGCCATGGCTGGAGCTGGAGCAGCTGGGATTCAGGGCACCATGTCCTAAGCCTGCACAGAGCAGCTAGGCCCTGGCCTGACCCACAAAACCATTTTTCCCTCTTAGGTCTCCAGGCCTGTGATGGGTGGGGATGACACAAAGATCTTTCATATAACCTGGAGACACTTTTCCCATTGTCTTAACATTCAGCTCCTCATTATTTATGCAGATTTATGCATCTGACTTGAATTTCTCCCTAGAATATGGGTTTTTTGTTTCTACTGAATGGTCAGGCTGCAAATATTTCAAACTTTTATGCTCTGCTTTTCTTTTAAACAAAATTTCCAGTTTCAGATAACCTCTTTGTTTACACATACGGGACTACACTTTCAGAAAATGCCAGTTTTCTGCTTAGAAATTTCTTCCAACTGATACCCTAAACAATCTCTCAAGGTCAAAGTTCCACAGATCTCTAGGGTGAGGCCAAAATATTTCAAACTTTTATGCTCTGCTTTCCTTTTAAACAAAATTTCCAGTTTCAGATAACCTCTGTGTTTCCACATATGGGACTACACTTTCAGAAAATGCCAGTTTTCTGCTTAGAAATTTCTTCCAACTGATACCCTAAACAATCTCTCAAGTTCAAAGTTCCACAGATCTCTAGGGTGAGGCCAAAATGCCACCAGTCTCTTTGCTAAAACATAGCAAGAGTGACCTTTTACTCTGGTTCCCAAAAATTTCCTCATCTCCATCTGAGACCACCTCAGGCTGGACTTCATTGTCGATATCACTAGCAGCATGTTGGTCAAAACCATTCAACAAGTCTCTAGGACTTTTCCGCATACTCTTGTCTTCTTCTGAACCCTCCAAACTATTCCAACCTCTGCCTGTTACCCAGTTCCAAAGTCACTTCTACATATTCAGTTTATCTTTATAGCAGTACCCCCTTCCTGGTACCAATTTATGTATTAGTCTGTTTTCACATTGCTGTGAAGAACTGCCTGATACTTGGTAATTTTTAAATAAAAGAGGTTTAATTGACTCAGAATTCTGAGTGGCTGGGATGGCCTCAAGAAACTTACAATAATGGGAGAAGGCGAAGGGGAAGTAAGGTTCATCTTACTTGGCAGCAGTATTGGGGGTGGGCGGATGTGCAAAACACTTTTAAACCATCAGATCTCATAAGAACTCACTCACTATCATGAGAAAAGCATGGGGAAACCACTCCCATGATTCCATCACCTTCCACCAGGTTCCTCCCTTGATACATGGGGATTACAATTTGAGATGAGATTTGGGTGGGGACACAGAACAAAACCATATCAGGATCTGAGTTCAAAATCCATGATTGACTAATTATTTGCCCTTGAGTAAACCACTTAATCTCTTCTAATTTTTGTTGTTTTTAAAATAGGGAAAATGATATCTATTTCTTGACACAGTGTTGGATACTTAATACAGTTTCATTTATAATTGGATTAGCAATGTATATTTTGGTACTTTTTGAAGTACCAAGTATAAAAAACTGTATATTTTTATTGTTTTAGGAAAATGATTATTTTTATAGCCTTACATAACTTGCATATTGTTATTATGATTAATGTTTTTATCTCACCAGTATAAAATTCAAAGGAAGATCATATCACTTTTTAATGTTCATATATTTATGAACATTCATTATATCATATATTATGAACATTCATTCAACAAATATTTTTGGAATATATGCTAATAGCCAGATTCAGTTCAAGGAGCTGAGGTGAGACTAGCAATGAACAAATACAAGTAGGTGGTTTGATTTTTCCTTTTAAAGTTCTAAAATTGTGTTTACTTGTCTTACGGGCACTCTTGCCTGTTTCTCTCACGAAGTACTATACTATACTATACTATACTTAGTGAGAGGAACAGGGAAGAGTGCCCATAGGACAAGGAAAGAACATCTGAAGGTCTAATAATTTCCCCTAACATTTGTCATTTTACTGCTGTTGTGGCCATATGCTATTGTTGCCATAAATAGAAAGTTTTCACAAGTCCCTACTTTATTATTTATTCTAGTAATGACCAAGTTAGTGAGGTTAGCATATTTCCTCATGGGGAAGTGGTAAGAGGAGGAGGTCTTTCTCTTTAGGGTAACATTTAAGCCTTGTGCCATCATTAGATGATACTTTAAATAATGTCATATTTTATTTTTCAGCTTTTTATTCACATGTCTATAGCATGCTCAGTAATGTCAGGATAGCCAGAGGGAAAACTATGCTGAACTCAGCCACATTGTGCCACTGCAGCTAACTTTACTTTAAAATAATTGGCTCAGTTATTGTACCTGGGTCACCCGCAAAGTCATTACTTATTCTCATGGTGAGTTTCTTTATTCATTCCTGTGCCCTTTCCTGAGAGCACACCTAATCTGAAACTATTTCAATCCGTCAGTCATTATCAGTATCAGTCAATATTGCTGAAAATAAAACTATCACAATGTTTAGTGATTTAAAACATCCATTTCATTAGCCTATGATTCTGTTGGTCTAAAATTTAAACTGGCCTCAGCAGGACTTCTTCATATGTATGTTTGAAGTCAACAGCATATTAGTAGGTTTTCTAACTCTTAAGATGACTGATGGCTCAGATGATGGAGGTGATTGAGCCATGTACCACTTATAATCCAGTAGGTTAGCGTTGGCTTCAACTCATGTGATTGTGTAGATTTCCAAAAGATGGAGAGGCAATAGTCATATTTTTTTAGGCTTTGGCTTAGAACCAGCTCAGTGTCACTTCCACATAATTTTATTGTTCAAAGTGAATGAGAAGGCAATTCCAGAATTTTAATGCAAGGAGCTACAAAATCATATTGAAAAGTGGCATGCATGTGGGAAGAGAAATAAGTACAGCCATTGGTACAACCAATACATGATAGCTCTTAGTTTGCTGCAATTAATCATATCAATGCTACATGCAAAATATACTCACCGACCCTAAGAACTCTGAAAGTCTTATGTAAGCATGGCATCATGTTCAAAGTCCAAAATCTTGGTATTACTTCATATTGAGATAAACTTCTAAAATGCAGCTCCTCTCTTAATTCATAGATCTGTGAATTCAAAATGCAAGCCATCTTCCCACACATTCTCAACATGTAATGAAGAGAAAGGGAGATGTTATCACAATACTCCTATTCAAAAGAAGGGAGAATGGAGGGTACACAGCAATCACTCCTCCAAAAAAATTCTGAAAACCTGCTAGATATACAGTTTGGCCCCCATATCCATGTGTTCTGCATTCATGAATTCAACAAACCAAGGATCAAAAATATTTAGAAAAAAATACACAAAATTAAAAAAAAACAAAACTTAAATTTGCCGTTTGCCAAGTACTACATTGAATCCATTCAATGAATTAATATGTGTGTGTTGTATTAGGTATTATAAGTAATCTGGAGATGATTTGAAGTATGTGGGGGGATGTAGATCATATGCACATTCTATGCTATTTTAAATAAGGTACTAGAGATTTCATGGATTTCAGTACCTAGGGGAAGGAGTTGGGTTCTGGAAGCAATCCCCCAAAGGATACAAAAAGATGACTGCAATAGACCAATTTACTTCATAAGTAGTAAATAATCCTTAATCATGGCCTTGTTATGCTATGCAATTGGAGCCTTGGGCATTTCTTATATATTGCTCTATAAAAGAAGCTACCCAGTCCATTGGATAGCTTTCTCAGCCAGCTTATTTACCTGTAAAAAGTTGGGGACCCAAAGACATTTATGGAATTTGAACCATTTAATCTCCTTTACCCTAGAATGGTTCTGCTTTTGCTGGCAAGCCTCCCTCAAGAATACTTTGAGGTATTTCTAGATGAAATATTTGCAAAGCTGTACTCACAGTTATTTTTGAGACATTTGTCTTTCTACAGCTACTGTTCATATGTCAGAGCAGCAAAGTTGCATTAAAAAGGATTTAGGCTGGGTTTATCACAGCTATTACTGAAAATTTCGGAGGTTGTCAAAGTTAAAATGGAGTCATTAATGTTAAAATTGTCCTTGCAAATGGAGCCAGAAAGGCTATGAAGAGAATGTTCTTATGCTTGTATGATTGATAACAAAAACTCTCACAAAAAAACTCTGCAAAAAACACAATCTTGTACAAAGGACATTGCAACCTTACTAAAAAAATACTTCTGCAAGGACATCTATTGAGCAACTGTCTGTCCAACCACAGACTCTAGTCACCCTTATTATTCATCTTTGTATCCAAAGATAACAATTTTAAAACAATTATGTAATCCTCCTCATTTTTTATTTAAAAAAACCTTTGTCTTCTTTATTCTCTGAATATGCGTATAGTTTGTTATGGCAGGATTATCCCCATTGCAGTATCCTATTTCCAAATAAGTAGCTTTTAAAAAATATTAGAGAGCCCCTTTTGTTATTTAGGTTAACAAAATAATCACCCACCTGGTCCATGTTTACCTCAAAAGGGAAATGTTTGGTGATCTCTGTCCTTTCTCTCTTAGAATGTTGCTTACCTTTCTGCCCAGGTATACTGCTCTCCTGGGAGACAACTTGCATGATCTGATAATTGGGAAGTGACTTCATCTATTTTAGTCATCTTAGAAAATAAAAAAAGGGGGAGAAAAATGTTTAACTAGTATATACCTGATAACTTTTCTGGTTACTCCAACATACATTTATGATTACTTAGCATTTTAGGGAAATAATTAGAGCACATCTGTTACATAGTAGGTCATAAGTGGGATGCATACTTGCATTTATTAGATTATTATCTAATATCTATAATATTTTCAATCTATACCATTGAAGCTATATAAGATAATCACAAAGAGTTCTGTATTTTATACTTTAAGATTAAAAAAGTAATCATATATTTGATTACCTAAGAGTTGTGCTTATGTTATTGGTCATAAGTGACCATTATTAAATGATGATATTTTTTCATAAGTATATTTAAATTGTATGTCTAATTTAAATTACCATGAATAAGTTCAGTCATGATTTTCATATGCTGATATATATGATTAAAACAAAAACATGATTTATACAATGAAAACTTAGCATACTCAGTAAATGTAGAAATAAGGTGTTTATTAGTTATTTTCTATAGCAAAATAATATTTTGCAATAAATATTTATATTCCTGTGGTTGTATCACTTTATCTGTCCTTATTCAAACATAAAGGTCTAGTGTAACAGGTGTCAACTTCCACAAAATATATAAAAAGCTTGTAACTTTATAACCTTGGCAATTTATTTCAGTAATTGCAATAAAATAAAGTTATGTTAAATTTTTATTTAGTTTCTAATTGTGTTCCGTAGCTATTTCTCAGTCAAATACAAAATTTCATGTCTATAAATATTTAGACCAATAATTATCATTATATTTAAATCATTATTTTGTGTTAAAGATATTTAATACCAGTGAAAGGATATTTCTGACCATAGATTGTAGTTATTACTTTGAAAAATGTTTAAATTTTGTCAATGTTATTCTATTTTTTTAAATAAAAATATTCTCCCATAAGAAATTCAGCCCCATCAACCCTTGCATATCCAGCCTTTAAGTTTGCCTAGGTGAAGTCCAGATATTACGAAGCAAGATATTTCGAGAGTGGATCTTGAATTATTGCAGTAGGATAACATTTACATGTAATGTATTTAAAAATATTTAGCACATACTAAAGAATGTGTCAAAATAACCACTTCTGGTAGTTTCTGTTGCAAAAATATTTCTTTTCTTTGTTAGAAGAAAGTTCCTATGTTATTAACAAGTGATGAACTCATGTGATAAAGGAATTTGAAACTAGTAAATTTATCTCCTCTTTTTGCTCTTTCCTCTTCATTTAATTCACAGATATTCAAAGTTAAAAAATTAACAAATATTTATTAAAATTGCAGCACTATAGTGTAAAGGATAAGCCACTCTACAGTGGCCTTAGGGATCTTGGTTCCCATCCTCACTCTCCCATTGATGTAAGGCAAATCATTTAAACTTGCTCATGAATGCTTCTTATCATTTGTAAAATGATTACTTGGAATCGTGCATTTATAAAGCCTCTTTAATAGTAGTCTAATATATTGTTATTGTAAATCTAGATCTTTTATATTTTTCTGAAGCATTCATTTTCTTTACCCTTAGACATTCCTTTTATATAAATAAATATTGTTTATGTTTATTCTTTATTATTTAATTCTATTAATAGATTTTTTAATGAATTAACAATACTAAGGAAAGCAAACCTCCCAGAGGTGGGTCCCACTGTCTTTACTTGCTCTCTTAAAATAATTGTGATAATATAAATAATTGTTAAATTCTTTTTGAACATTTGCAATATGCTATAGACTGTCCAAATAGTTTACACATACTAATTCACTAAATACAAAAATCTATGAAGTAATTATTATTATTATATTTCTTCTATAGTTTAAAAAAACTCAACTAATAAAGTTAGGCAATTTGCTCAAAATTAGAGAACTCTAGGAGATTGTAGCAATTTTTATAAGTGATATTTCTTCAAAGGGCAACTTGGGTGACTCATAATAATAGACGGTGATAAATGGTATAATGTATATCTTCAGAGGAGGTTAGGTTTAAGACAGCGATGCAATTGCCACTGTATTTCCTGTAACACTGGCACTTGGAGCCCTGAGTAGGCCTGTGAGTAGTTAATACCATGCTGTGAGTAACAGCTTAGAAGAGGCCAAATGTAGGCATTTAGATTTGCATTAGCTCTAGTCTAATAGTTCTATCATCCCAGATGCCAGACAGATGAGTGAATGAGTCTTCATATGTTTCTGGCCCCACCAACTATCGTATGCCCAGCCTTTGAGTTTGCCCACCTAAAATTCAGATTTCACAGAGCAGAGACAAGTCTCCTCAACTGTGTCCTGTCCAAATTACTGACCCACTGCACCCATGAGCATAATAAAATACAGCCATCCCTCAGTGAATGTAGGGGATTGGTTCCAGGACCTCTGCTGTATACCATAATCCAGGCATACTCAAATCCCTCAGTTGACTCTGTGCAACCCAATATGCAAAATATAAAAAGTTGATCTTCTGCATAATCAGCTTTCACATCCCTCACATCACAAAAATAATACAGTATTTTTGATCCACAGCAAGGTTAAAAATATCTGCATATAAGTTGACCAAGACAGCTCAAACTGGTGTTGTTCATGGGTCAGTTGTAATTGTCTTAAACTGATAAATTTTAAAGTATATGTTACACAGCAGTAGAAACTGGAACAGGAAGAGTCAGAATTTCCACACAGGTAGTCTGGCTCCAGAAGTTATGCTCTTAACAGCTACTGTGTGGAATATAATACCAGAAAAAGTCTGCAAAGTTAAAGAATATTTTATAAGTTTATTCAGAGTTTTGGATATCAGATGTGTATCAGATGTGCCATTATGCTTAAGCATCATCTACTGGATCACAGCCCGAAGCTTCAACACCAAAAGTACATTGCTAATATAACCTCAACCCACCCTGTGAAACCAAGGACAATAATTCAGCTACAAGTAAAGACACTGCACAAAGCCTCACACCCTGAAAACACTGAGAAAAGAAGTCTAATAACTGTGCTCAATTTACATTGCATTTAAAGGAACACCAGCACATAAAGATGAGAAAGTACCAGCATAAGAATTTTGGCAACACAAAAAGCCAGAATATCTTTTTCCTCCAAATGACTGCAGTAGTTTCCCAGCGATGATTCTTAACCTGGCTGAAATGGGTGAAATGACAGAAACAGAATTCAGAATACAGAGAGGAACAAAGATCTTTGAGATTCAGGAGAAAGTTGAAACCCAATTCAAGAAATCTAAGGTTTACAATAAAATGATACAGAAGGTAACAGATAAATAGTCATTATTAAAAAGCTGTATAAATGATTTTACACAGCTCAAAAACACATTACAAGAATTTAATGATGCAATCATGAATATTAACAGCAGAACAGATCAAGCTGTGAAAAGCATATCAGAGCTTGAAGACTGGATGTCTGATATAAGACAGTCAGATAAAAATAAAGAATAAAGAACAAATAAAATCTATAAGAAATATGGAATTATATTAAGAGACCAAAGCTAGGACTCACAGGCATCCCTGAAAAAGATAGGGAGAAAGAAGTAACATGAAAAACATATCTCAGAGTATTATTCATGAAAACTTTCCCAACCTTGCTAGAGAGGCTAACATTTATTTTTGAGAAATGCAGAGTACCTGTGAGACACAACACAAGAAGACCATCCCAAAGACAAATATTCATCAGATTTTCCAAGGTAAAAATGAAAGAAAAAATGTCAAAGGCAGCTAAAGAGGAGGGGTAAGTCACTGAACCAAAGAGAACCCCACCAGGCTGACAGTGGACCTCCACAGAAAGCCTACAACCAGAAGATATTGGGGGCCTATATTCAGCATTTTTAAAGACAAGAATTTCCAACCAAGAATTTTATATACTGCCAAACTAAGCTTCATACAATAAGAAATAGTAAGATCCTTTTCAGACACACAAATCTGAGAGAATTTGTTACTACTAGATTTGCCTTACAAGAGGCCCTGAAGGAAGTGCTACATAAGGAAAGATCTTTACCATGCACTACAACAACACACTTAAGTACACAGACCAGTAACATTAAAAAGCAACCACACAAACAAGTCTGCATAATAACCAGCTAATAAGACAATGGCAGAATTAAATCCATACATATCAATACTAACCTTGAATGTAAATAGGTTAAAAACCCCAATTAAATAAGACAGAGTAGCAAGTTGGATAAGAAGCAAGGTCCAGTAGTATGCTGCCTTCATGAGATCCATCTCACATGCCATGACACACATAGATTCAAAATAAAAGGATGGAGAAACATCTACCAAGTATATTAGTCTGTTTTCATACTGCTATATGCTAGAAAGAAATACCTGAGACTGGGCAGTTTATGGAGAAAAGAGATTGAATTAACTCACAGTTTGGCAGGCTGTATAAGAGGCATGGCTGGTGAGACCTTAGGAAACATATAATCATGACGAAAGGTGAAGTGGAACCAGGTACAATATTCACATGGTAGAGCAGAAGAAAGACAGTGAGGGGGGGGGGGGTTTACACACTTCCAAATAATCAGATCTTGTGAGAACTCTATCATGAAAACAGCAAAGGGGGAAGTCCACCCCCATGATTCAGTCACCTTCCACCAGGCCTCTCCTTTAACACTTGGAACAATTCAACATGAGATGTGGTTGGGGACACAGAGCCAAAGCATATCACCCAACAAATGAAAAAGAGAAAAAAGCTATGGTTGCTATCCTAATTTCAGACAACATAGACTTTAAACCAGCAGGTATAAAAAAGACAAAGAAGGGCATTACATAACAGTAAGGGGTTCAATTCAACAAAAGATCTAACTATTATAAATATACATGCACCAAACACAGGAGCACCAAGATTTATAAAGAAACTTCTGAAAGACCTATGAAGAGAGTTAGATTCCCAAACAAAAATAGTGGGAGATTTCAACACCCTACTGACAGTATTACACAGATCATCAGGCAAAAAAATTAAAAAAAAAAAAAATTCATGAGCTGAACTCAATACTTGACCACATGGACAAAATGAAAATCTACAGATACCCTAAAACAACAGAATATATATTATCCTCTCTACCACATGACACGTACTCTAAAATTGACCACACAATTGGCCACACAACAATCCTCAGCAAATTAAAAAAACAAAAAAAACCAAACAAATTATATCAGCCACATTCTCAGACCATGGTGCAATAAAAGTGAAATCAATACTAAGAAAATTGCTCAAAACCATATCATTGTTTCAAAATTAAACAACCTTCTCTTGAATGACTTTTGGGTAAATAAGAACTGTATTAGTCTGTTTTCACACTGCTGATAAAACATACCTGAGAATGAGCAATTTACAAAAGAAAGAGGTTTAATTGACTTACAGTTCCACGTGGTTGGGGAGGCCTCACAATCATGGTGGAAGGCAAGGAGAGTAAGTTATGTCTTATGTGGATGGCAGCAAGCAAAGAGAGAGATTTTGTGCAGGGAACCTTCCATTTATAGAACCATCAGGTCTCTTGAGACTTATTCACCATTATGAGAACAGCATGGGAAAACCTGCCCCCATGATTCAATTACCTCCCACCGAGTCCCTCCCATAAAAGCTGAGAATTCAAGATAAGATTTGGGTGGGGGCACAGCCAAACCATTTCAAGAACATTAAAGCAGAAATGTTGCATGTAGTGAAATCAAATATACAACATGCCAGAATCTCTTGGGACACAGCTAAGGTAATGTTAACTGGGAACTTTATAGCACTAAATGCCCAAATCAAAAAGTTAGGAAGATCTCAAATCAATACCTTAATATCACAAATAGAGATACTAAAGAAACGAGAGCAAATTACCCCCCAAAAGTAGCAGAAGACAAGAAATAACCAAAGTCAGAAGTGAACTGAAGGAAACTGTGACATAAAACTATACAAAAGATCAAATAATCCACAAACTGGTTCTTTAAAAAAAGTTAATAAGATAGACCACTAGCTAGAGTAATAAAGAAAAAAAACCCCAGAAGATCCATATAGACACAATTAGAAATGACAAAGTGGAATTACCAATAACACCATAGAATTTTTTTAAAAATCCCTATGGGCTATTATAAACTCCTCTATGCACATAAACTAGAAAATCCAGAAGTAACAGAATTATTCCTGGATACCTACACCCTCCCCAGAATGAACTAGGAAGAAATTGAATCCCTGGATAAAAGAATAAAAAGTTCCAGAGTGAATCAGTAATAAATAAAAAAAAAAAACCCTACCAACCAAAAAAAGCCCAGGACTAGACAGATTCACAGCCACAATATACCAGATGTATGAAGAAGAGCTGGTACCATCCTACTGAAACTACTGCAAAAAACCAATGACATTTTTCACAGAATTCCAAAAACCGATTTTACAATTCAAATAGTACCAAAAATAAATCCGAATAGCCAAGGCAATCCTAAGCAAAAAGAACAAAGCTGGAGGCATCATCTTACCCAACCTCAAACTATACTACAAGCCTACAGTGACTGAAACAGCATGATACTTCCACAAAAACAGACACATAGACCAATGGAACAGAACAGAGATATCAGAAATAGTGCCACATACGTAAAACCATTTCATCTTCAACAAAGTTGACCAAAACAAGCAATGGGGAAAAGACTCGCTATTCAATAAATGGTGCTCTGATAATTGGCTAGCCATATGCAGAAGACTGAAATTGGACCCCTTTTTATGTCATATAAAAAATCAACTGATGATAAAGACTTAAACTGAAAACTTAAAACTATAAAAATTCTATAATATAATCTAATAAGTACCATTCTGGACATATACTCTGGCAAAGATGTTATGATAAAGATGTGAAAAGCAATTGTAACAAATTAAACTAAAAATCTGTACAGTAAAAGAAACAAATTTTACTTAACAGAGTAAACAGACAACTTACAGATGATGGGAAAAAATATTTGCAAGCTATGCATCCAACAAAGGTCAAATATGACCAGAAACTAAATGGAAATTAAACAAATTTACAAGCAAAAAAACAAACAAGCCCATCTGAAAGTGGGCAAAGGACATGAATAGCCACTTTTCAAAAGAAGGACATTCCCAGAGCCCTGGAGAACTTGCTTACCTGAAAGAAAGGAAATAGGTTGGCTTGCTTTACCACATGCTGATTGTATAGCTATGGGGCCTTCAGCAGTAGCCAGGTAGTGGTTACAGCAGGCCTTGGGTGAGGCACACACAGTACTGTGCTGGCTTTGGGTCTGACTCAGTGCAGTCCCAGTGGTAGCAGCCACAAGGACGCTTGTGTCACCCCACCCCTGGTTCCAGGCAGCTCAGCACAGAGATAGAGAGACAGAGAAACTGACTGACTCTGTTTGAAAGAAAGAGTGGAGAACAAGAGTCCTTGCCTAGTAATCAAGGTAATTCTTCTAGATTTTATCCAAGAAACCAAGGTGGTACCTCTATGATTCTGCAAGAACTACAGCATTACTGGGATTGGCTTGCCCTCAAGGCAGATATGAATGCAGTAGTCAAAACTTGGATTACAGCACTTAAGTCCCATAAAACACCTATAAAGCATTCTTAAGAAGTGTGAGCACAAACTCAGACTGCGAAGTCTGTGAATACCTAACTCTTAAATGCCCAGACACCAACAAACATCCAAAAGTATCAATGCCATTCATGAAATCATAACCTTACCAATTGAACTAAATAAGATACCAGGTGCCAATCCCAGAGAAACAAGAGATATGTGACCATTCAGAGAATTCAAAATATCTACTTTGAGGAAATTATAAGAAGTTCAAGTAACACAGAGAAGAAATTCAAATCCTATCAGGTAAATTTGACAAGGAATTTGAAATAATTTTAAAAAATCAAGCAGAAATTCTCGAGTTGGAAAATGCAATGACATATTGAAGAATGCACAAGAGTCTCTCATTTTTTTTTTTTTTTTTATTTTAAGACAGGCTATCACTATCATCCAGGCTGGAGCACAGTGGCATTGTCTTGGTTCACTGCAACCTCCTCTGCCTTCCAGGCTCAAGCAATTCTCCCACCTCAGCCTCTCAAGTAGCTGGGACAACAGTTGCATACCACCATGTCCAACTAATTTTTGTAATTTTTTTTTTTTGTAGAGATGAGATTTCTTTTTCATAGACAATAATACAAAAACTGGTCAAAATTTAAAAAATGTTTGCTTATGGGTTACATATAAATTTGGAGTCAGGAATGACACCAAACAACCACAGATTGTCCACTAGGTGAATGATATAGTAACACCTTTTGCTTTTTGGTGGTTCACTGTACACACACATTGTTTCATGCACAAAATTATTTAAAATATTGTATAAAATTATATTTTTGCTATGTGTAAAAATGTATATGTAAAACATAAATAAATTTTATGTTCAGACTGGGTACCATCTCCAAGATATTTCAAAATAACAAAAAATCTGAAATCTAAGAAACTTTGAATAAAGGATACTCAGCCTGTATATTTAAATGTGTTAGAAATTACCAATAAATTCTCAAATTTGAGTATCTTTTTATTCCTATTAACGAGGTTTTATGGTTCCAGTTGTTCTACATCCTTGCCAACCCTTATTGTTATCAGTATTTTTAGTTTTAACTATTTTGGTGTATGTGTATTATATCTGATTTTTATTTTAATTTGCATTTCCCAAATAACTAATGACATTGATGATCTCTTGACATGGTCAGAAGACAACTGGATAGCTTATTTTTTATTTCGCTGATTTCAGTAATTTCTCCCTTTTTTATCAAGCTATTTATATGTAAAAGATTTTTATGTGTTTTATATATAGTAACATTTTCTGATACATGTGTTGCAAATAGTTTCGCCTTGTTTGTGGTTTGACTTTGTACTTTGCATTTTTTGGTGTGTAGTGGTAAAAATATGATTCTTTGTATTTGTGTCTAAAGTAAAATCTAAAACTATTGCTTAATTACTCTAATTGCTGATATTAGTCAGATCACAGCTTTCCTATGCTTTATGGTTGACTATAATCATCCTTCAGATTTGATACTTATTTTCATCTTAGCCTACTGTTTCTTAGCTTCTGACACCTTTAATTTTTATAAAAGTTTAGCTAAAGTGGACAAAAGAATGTGACATTCAGTAGATTAGAGTAACTATGGGAACCAAAAGTTTTTCTTTCATTATAGGCTGTGGGAATTGTAACGTTAGCACATTTTCTGCTATATGTTATTTTATGTTAACCATTCTCTTGGAATTTTTTATATTTTAATAAAATAATAAGCATTGCTTTCCAATATAAAATGTCTACTATAGAGCTTCCTTTTCTTCAGTAAGTTGTTCTCAAACGTAACTCTCAAATTGATAACTTAAATTAAGTGGCCTTTAAAACTTAAAACTATAGTTCCTGAAATTTCAGAAGGGTAGGCCTTAAGAATCCTACCAATGAATATCAATAACTCTAGCTCTAAAGATAACAGAGCACTCACAGAATTTATAATACTAAAATATGTGATTTTCTACTACATTAAAACATAGATTTAAAAATATCTGCTTAACGGAGACTTTCTTATTTAAAATCATACATCTATCCATATCCTGAGCTAAGAAAAAAGAAACCATGGAATTTCTCTCCTAAGGAGAACTAATAATAATATTTATCCAGATTAAGTTAAAAACACAGAGGACTTCTGTTGTCAGTCAAGGTAAAGTATAATCACTACAACCTAACTTCCTGCTATTATTACTACAGCTGTGGATAAAATATAAAAAGCAATTATGAGAAAATTGAAAAGCAAACTGAATCTAGCACATTGAGAGGGAAGACAAAATTTAGCAAACCTTTTTTGGGTGACACATGAGCAGTACAGATTCAAAGCAAGCAGAAGGAATGAAATTTTAAAGACAAATTTGGAAATTATAAAATAGATAATAAAAAATAAAGGAATCAATCAAATCAAAAGTTGATTCTTTGAAAGATCAACAAAATTGACATAACTTTGTCTAAACTGATCAAGTAAGATAAGAGAGATGACAACTTAGAAAAATTAGAAATGAAAGAATCAGAATCACTTCTGACATTACAGGGAGAGAAGTAAAATCAAAAGGGTATACCATGAACAATTGTATGCTAACAAATTAGATAATCCAGAGGAAATCTACAGATTTCCAGAAAGACATGTGCTAATAAGACTGAAGATTCAAGATCACATAATAAAGCTTAGACACATAGTAAACAAAAAGAATGAAATCATAACAAAAAAATCCCTAAATAAAGAGCCCAGTAGCTTCACTGGTGAATTTTACCAAATATTTAAAGAAAATTTAACAATAGTCCTTCACAAACTCTTGTGAAAAAATGGAAGACGAGGGAACATTTTTTATCTCATTTTTTGAAGTCAAACTTATCTTTATACCAAAACTAGACAAAGACTTTACAAGAAACAAAACAAAACAAAACAACTGGAGACCACTGTATCTTTTGATTTAGATTTTTCTAAATCTAAACATTTTCAAACATTTTCAAAATACTACTACTTTACAAAAGGTGATACTGTATCATTTGTATTAAAAACAATGAAACTTGACTCAGTTTACATTAAGTACAAGAATCAATTCTAGATAATTGAAGATCTAAATGTGCAGCAAAATAACGGTAACACAAGGAAATACCTTAACAAATTTGTGGCAAGAAAATAAATCTTCCAACAGGACCAAAAATCACTAGCATAAAGAAAATAGTTAAAAGTAGGAATTTCTGTTTATTAAAGACACTATTGAGAAGGTGAAACATAAAGACACACAGACAGAAGGTAGTTGACAAAAAATAAAGCCAGAAGATTAGATTGTTGACAAAAACTAGAAAAGGTATTGAATACAGAATATAAAAGGAATTCTTAGAGATTCATATAAAACAACACATTTAATTGTGCTTCTCACAATCAACACATACTATAAGCACAGGCACACACACACACAACTTAAAACTTAAAATGATTTCCAATATTATTTGTGATCAGAATCAAAATATATTTGCTGTACTTTGGAATTATTTATAATCTGGCCCCTGACTGTCATTCCAACCTTATTTTATGCTGCTTCTCCCAAAAAATCCAGGGTATTTCCTTCCAAGAAGTTTGCACAGAGTGATAGTTTTTCACAAAATTTTTTTTTCTAGCGTTTATACTGCCCAAACTTCAGGACTTGCCTTAAGTATAACCTCTTTATAAGCTGTTTAAAAATAAGAAGAGGAGAAGAGAAGAAAAAAGTCAGAAATTCGAAGCACAAGGATTATGCTTATTGTTTCTGGCTTGAAGAGACAGAATGCGACATGCAAAGTATGACAAGGAAATGAAATTTCGACAACCGGAATGAGCCTGGAAGAATATTCTTCTTCAGAGCTTTCAGATAATGGATAAGCCCAATGGATCTACTGATTTTGGCCCTGGGTAATCAAGGCAGAGCAGCCATCTGAGTGTGAGCAGCCTGGACTTCTGACCCATAGAAAGGGTTACGTAACAAGTAATCATTGTTTTAAATACTAATTAGTAGTAATTTGTTATGGCAATAGGAGAATATACAGATTTGGTACCAGGAGTGAGGTTCTGCTGTGACATACACCTAAAATATGTGTAAGTGGCTTTGGAATTGAACAGTGGGAAGAAACTGGAATACTTTTGAGGAGCCCATGATAGAAAATGCCTAGATTATTTTTAAGAGACTGTTATCAGAAATATGGACATTAAAAACGCTTCAGGGAAGGACTTTGAGAAAAAGTGAAGAGCATGGTAGAGAAAACTAAATTGCCATAGAGAATACTTAAATCACCACAAACAGAACAAATATTATGGATGAGAAACAGATGAATAGGTGGCATTGTATTCCCAGCACTATGTATTCAGGAAATGCCACTGTATAACTCTGTCATAAGTAAGTGTAAGGAAATGATGGGAAGATAATTGTCTTCTATTCAAAAAGAAAAATTATGTGTTTATAATAATACATTTCTGAGCTTTTAGTACTGCTGATTTTTAAATAGAAGTGTAAATATAAAATATATTTTCTCAACATGAAAAGGAGTATTCATTTCTAAAATTATGAAAATGAAATTTTGATTAGGTATGACTGATTAGCATTTTCAAGAATTATTTGAGTTGAAATCAATGGTGTAATTCATTTTGCTTTTATTCCACTGCTAGTTATATTGATACAACAGTGGAATATGTCCATGCTCTAGTGGGTAAATGATTCAGGGAAGACACAAGGGAGATTTTAGTCCTTTGAAGTTTATAAAATTGGAGTTTATTCCTTGGTTAAACAACTACTATGGTTTGGTAGCAATTTATAAATATTTTTAGCAATTGTTATATTAGGCATAGAAATACTGATCCTAAATGAATGGTAGAAAACAGTACTGCATTTTCATATCTATGCATATTCAGAAATTTTTTTTTACTCAGTGTAGATATAAAATTTTCATTTACTCCAATTCTATAATATGAATTAATGGAAAAATGATTATAAATGAATACAAATAATTCTTTCATAAATGTTAAATAACGTTACTTACAGTGAAACATTTGAAACATTTTAAAACTAACATCCACATTAATTCATCAGCAAGTATAAATAATATGAACAATTTACCAGGCATTCTGGGTTCAGGATTTCGTATTCCTGGCTCTTTTTACTTTTCGTAGGAGGATTATTTATTTAATTAAAAAAATGTATAAAATTGAAAATATAAAATTATCACAGCCTCTCAATGCCAATTGCCATGAAAAACAAATACAAACTACAAGCAGCCTATCTGGAATGCAAGTATAGGGCCCTGAAGTTAAGATTCCTTAGGATCTGGAAAAATTTGATTCTGACAACATATATTTACTTTAAGAAGAGCCCTGATTTAAGAAATATGGAAGGTATAAAAGAAACAGGTACTTCTTTATTTTGATAATTCTCATAGAGTTCATTAGATAATCATAGGTAACATTTATTAAATCTTTCCTCTCTATGACACAATGCTAAATACTGTGTCTAATAATTAGCTTATTTATTGCTTTTAGCTTTCTGAGAAAAATATTACTATTATCCCTATTTTTCACAGAAAAAATAATTGTCAAATGTAAAATATTTAAAGATTATAGAATTTGGATGCTGACAAATTGATATTTGAAGCTTGTGTTTTTAATCCCTTTTCAAAATTGCCATTCAGAAAAGGTAAATAACAATGAAGTAAAACAAGAGTGGAAAGGAAGCCATTTACTCATATTGTCAAAATAGTTGTATATTCTAGTATGTCTGTGAATTATTGGAAGATATGAGAGAAAAGTCATCATGATACTCCCTAACCAACAGGACAAACATATTTTTGATGATATATTTGGAAGGAGATGTAATCATGGTGATGGCTAACAGTCTTCTTTTTTACATATAGATTTTTCTCTTCTTTTCTATTTGCCTGTATCTTCAATTAATAAGCTGTACCTAGAAGATTATACTGTTAGTTATGAATATATTCTATTTACTCATTTTTCCATATTTTAAAATAATTCTACCACTTATTGATTTACATTTATATGATGACCAAATAAATTTAAATTCCAAGACATGGTTTAAGGCAAATGAGTACTAGAGTATTTTCCTTCTCTTTGCCTCAGAACTTTAAAAATACGTGGAAATGTAAATAAGGTTCAGAGAAGAGTGGTAGTGATTATTCACAATGTCAAACAAGAGCTACAAGATAATGTTAAAGAAACTGACTAATGAAAAGCTTCAATAAAACAAAAGATTCTTGCATTCAGGAGAGTGACCAACTCCTCTCAATCTCCACTAATAATGAACTGAGTAGAAATAAGTATAAATCACAGAATGAAAAATTTGTTAGCTATAAGAATTTTATATTTGTAAAATGAATACTAAACATATGTAAAAAGATTGCACAAAGGCCCTAAATCAAATTACCGTTCCATGTCAAAAAAATTATAAGAAAAAGAAAGAATCTTACGGGCAATACAAAGAATTCAAAAAGGACCGAATCTTGTCTCTGATTGATAGGATTAAATTGCTTTCTGTTCTCCTTGTATAGATCAATTTTACTATTGTTTTAGAAGGTTTGGAAATGAGACTGAAAGAATAAAAAATTAAACATATAAGTAAAAGTATTTATTATCATCAGTGTAGATGTTTTCTACATGTAGAAAAGGAAAATCAACTATCTCTTTAATTTAGCACTTAAATATAGTCTCCATATTGTTTGATTGATTTTTGTTGATTATCTGCTCATTACTGTAATAAGGAAGCTGAGACTCAGAAAGGCTAAATTAGCTTTCACAGGCCATGTAGTTACAGAATCAGGATTTGGGCTATGGCCTTAAATGTTGGTGTAATGAACTATATATATATATTTTTCCCAATTGTTCACTGTCTCACCTTCTTGCAGTATTTTCCATTTCTATGTTAATGGCATCTCACTTGATCTTGCGACCTTCTTTTGACAAAAATGGTGGGTGAAATGCCATTTGTTACTTCTGATGTAATATTTGAATTACATCAGAAGAAATTAAATTTATGAAGAAATTTAACATAATAACCAAAAATAACCTCTACAGTTGATTTCAAAACTAACATAAAATAAAAAGAAAAAAAGGCACTATTTGTCAATGGAGAAAGTAACAATTATTCAGGAAGTAACAATTATTTAGAATATAGAATTGATATTACTGTTGAGCAATTAAGAAAAATTACTTCAGAGATGCTCCTCTTGATTTACAATAAAATAATCTCTATAAATTAGAGTTAATATTTTGAAGTTAAATAAACGTTTATTTAAAAAAAAGTTGATCCTAAAAGATACCTGAAATGAATCTATATCTGTATATATGTCAATAAAGAGCAGGAGTCATTTCAGGAACTGAAATGATTATTTTAAACCTGTAAATAATTTATTTTGGAGGGGGGTATTGTATCAATTTCTGAGTTATTTAGGAGAGATAAATATAATGTCTAAAGATCAGGGCATTGCTGAAAAGGAAAAGTGTCAAAACAAAAAAATTGTTATACTTTTTAAATTAAAAATATAAGCTGAGCCCAGGAGTTTCATACCAGCATAGTCAACATTAGTAAGACCATATTTCTAAAAAAAAAAAATTTAAAAGGAAAACAATAGATAAGGAAATATATTTGTGATTTGTTTAATACACCTATTATTTTAACATTGCAAATAATAAAATATAAAGATCCCAGTAACTCAGTTAGCAAAGGCTAATGACTATTAGCCATTAATTGGTCATTAATAACCAATTAAATTATTGTATTTTTAAAACAGAGGTATTTTTAAGGACTTTTTTTTTGAGCAACTTTAGGTTCACAGCAAGAGTGAGAGGAAGATACAGATATATCCCATATACACACTGTCTCTACACATGCCTATTCTCAAAAATGGGGAATTTAAAATCTATTAGGAAATATCATTATAAAACTTATGTGAGACTATGCTATTTTTCTTTGTTAATTTCAAGAAAAACACACGTTGAAAACAACTAGAAGAGACCAAATACATACACATAAAGTTAGTATATGTTGTGTTAAGTTTGTAGAATTTTGGATTGAACATTTTCTCTTCTTTTTTTAGCTTTCCAAACTTTCTGACACTGTATTTTTTTCAAAATACTCATAATAATTTCCCAATGTGATATGTACTTCAAACTCCTGGGCTCAAGTGATCCTCCCACCTCAGCCTCATGAATAGCTGGGACAATAGGCAGGCACCACTATGCCTGGCTAATTTTTTTTTAATTGCTATTGTTTTAGTAGTAACATGGTCTTGTTATTTTGCCCATGCTGACCTCAAACTCCTGGGCTCTAGTGATCCTTTCACCTTGGCCTTCCAAAGTGCTGGGATTACAGATATGATACACCATGTCCAGCTTTAAGTGTTTTAAAACTGTCGTTTCAATCTGTGATTTCATTGCTTGATCCTCAAAACTATTCTCCTCAATGTATTTGTGAATTAATGTTGTTTTTCAAAGTCATTCAGTCTCAGTAAAATGATAAAAATTGATCACTGTCATTTGAGTATACATGAAAATTTAGGTGATGCCACTAAAAAAAGTTGAATTGGGGGAACAATGAATTCATTCAATTTAAGTTTAGTGTACTATACTTATGAACTGTGTAAATCACTTTTGTGATCGATAGCTGTCCTAGTCGAGAAATATTCATGCAAATAGACCAATTTTACCTTAATCATGTGAACTTCCATGATCTTATTTATTACGTAGAGGCATGAGTGTGGGTTCTCTAATTGCTTTTTTCTACAAATGCTAATATTTATCATAATATTATAACTACTTAGAAATCATTCCTGAGGGAAGATGGAGATTGGAATTTATTGTATTTATGTAGGTTGCATTTTTCTTCATTTGATATAAGCAACACAATAGACTATCATTTGAGAATTTTTCATTTGTGCTCATAACCATAATGTATTTCAATAGTGTTATCTTAGGATGAATGTAATGAAGGTGGAGGGATTTATTTTTCTTAAATTAATATTTTGAGGTAGAAATTACATAATAAAAATCACAAATATCTGAAGTGTCTACTTCAATGAGTTTGACTATATGTATCCTGAAACCATCATACAAATCAAGATATAAGCTTCCATTACCCAGAAACTTCCCTCAAGTACCTTTCTAGTCTATATGCCACCTCCTATTCACACAACACCAGGAAACCATTTTCTGATTTTTTAAGAATCCTAGATAGCTTTTGCCTTTACTTAGAAGTAGAATCATACTGAACATGATGTTATTGTAAACTTTTTTTATTCCCTCCATACAATGTCTGTGAGATTACTTCATGAGATGTGTATGTGTGTGTGTGTGTGTGTGCGCACATGTATTCTGTCCTTATGTTGATGACTGGTATTCCTTTGTTTGAATGTAAAAAATTTTGTTTATTCCCTGCATATGTGCATATATTGCTATATAAATATATATGCATATGGCAACATGTGTATATGCAATATATACAATATGTTCATATACACATATTGCTATATGTGTATATGCAATATATACAATATGTTCATATACACATATTGCTATATGTGTATATATATTTATATTGCTATATGGGCACATATGCATATATTGCTATATGCGTACATATATTTACATAGCAATATGTACATATATATGTATAGCAATACAACACATATATAGCAATATTGTATAAGGCTGCTATGACATACTATTTTTTTTGTGGGAGGAAAGGGAAATATTTCTGGTTAAAATTGATAAACATTTGAGTTGTTTATATTTTAGTGCTATCATTTATAAAGTTGCTATGAATATTTCTAAACTAGTGCTTTGTGGATATGGGTAGTTTTTTTAAATTTTGTTTTGTTTATCTTGGTAAATACTTAGGAATAGAATTGTTGGACCATAGCATATGTGTACAGTAAGTCCTCACTTAAGATCATCAGGAGATTCTTGAAAACTGCAACTTTAAGCAAAACTCAAAACAAAGACAATTTTTCTTCTCATCAATGTTATAAGGAAACAAGGAGTTTACATCATTCGAGGACCTGCTCTACATCATTTTGCTTAAAGTTACAAAACCTACCAACAATGTTAAGTGAGGACTTACTGTATGTTTAATTTTATAAGAAATTTCCAAATAATTATCAAAGCAATTGTACCATTTTACACTCTTGTCAGCAAGACATGAGAGTCCCAATTGCTCCACCTCATTATGAATACTTGCTTGTACAATTTTTAATTTTAACAATTCTAATGGGTGTGTGGTAGTTTTTAATTTGCATGTTTCTGATGACTAAAGATATTTAGAATCTTTTCATATGATCATAGCCACTCTTGTTTCTTTTTCTATGAAGTGGCCAAGTTTTTGTTTGATGTTAAATTATAAATAATTTCTATTCTGTTGTTAGTTGAAATATTTTATGAATTTTCATTAACTGGATTAAAAGTGTTGATTAAATCTTCCATATCCTTATCAAGTTTCTGTCTATTTTTTCTATTAATTACAGAAAGAGGTTATGTTAAAATCACTAAGCATAATTATGGACTTGTCTATTTTATTCTTTAGTTCTGTCAATTTTGAAGCTCCATTTTATGGTGTAATTGCATTTAAGATTTTATAGTTTCCTGATAAATTGAAACTTTTTATTGGAAAAAATTCTAGTAGTCTGCTGTTTAAGAATTTTTTTCTTAAACAATCTATATTTTTAAAAAATTTGAATATATTACGTTATGCTTGTTTGTGTTAGTGTTTGTTTAAAATCTCTTTTTCATCCTTTTACTTTTAACTTATCTATGAGTTTATATTTGAAGGGTATCTGTTGTAAACCACTGTGTTTGATTCCGGCTTTTTTATCTAATCTGACAATCTCTGCCTTTTTTAATTGAAAAATGTTTAATTTTAGGTTCAGGAGTACATGTGAAGATCTGTTATATAGGTAAACTTATGTAACGTGGGTTTGTTGTACAGATTATTTCATCACCCAGGTATTAAATCTAATACCCAATACTTATTTTTCTGCTCCTCTCCCTCCTCCCACACTCCACCCTCAGGTAGGCCCCAGTGTCTGTTGTTACCTTTTTTGTTTTCATGAGTTCTCATCACTTAGCTTGCACTTGTAAGTGAGAACATGTAGTATCTGATTTTCTGTTCTTGTGTTAGTTTGCTAAGGATAATAGCCTGCATCTCCATCCATGTTCCCGCAAAAGACATGATAGTGTTCTTCCTTATGGCTGCAGTATTCCATGGTATATATGTACCACATTTTCTTTATCCAATCTGTCATTGATGAGCGTTTAGGTTGATTGTATGTCTCTGCTGTTGTGAATAGTGCTGCGATAAAAATTAATGTGCATGTTTCTTTATAGTAGATGATTTATATTCCTCTGGGTATATACCCAGTAATGTGATTGCTGGGTTGAATGGTAGTTCTGCATTTAGCTCTTTGAGGAATTGCCATACTGCTTTCCACAATGTTCCCTTTTTCTGCAACCTCGCCAGCATCTGTTATTTTTTGACTTTTCAGTAATTGACATTCAGACTAGTGTGTGATGATATCTCATTGCGGTTTTGCTTTGCATTTCTCTAATGATTGATGATATTGAGCTTTCTTTTTCATATGCTTGTTGGCCATATATATGTCTTCTTTTGAAAAGTGTCTGTTCATATCCTTATTCAACTTATTTTTAATGTAGTTATTGATAATGGTGGGCTTGATTCCATCTCTTCAATTTTTTTTTTAAATTTTGTCATGTGTTGTTTGTTTTTGTCTTTCTCTTGTCCTGAATTTTTGGTGTAAATTTTTTGTTGTTTTTTTAAAAAAATTATTTTATTCTCATTGACGTTTTTAACTACGGCTCTATGTTTAATTTTTTAATTGTTGCTCTAGTATTACAATATATATTTTCAAATTAACACTCACACCTCTGAATTAATACTATATGCAATTTTCAATCTAAAACACTTGCATCCTGGACACAAATATTTATATTTTTCCCATATGCCCATATACTCACTGTCTACTCCAAAATTCTAATCACATTACTACATCAGAATCATGCTTAGGTTTTAGTATCCTGTTATCTAAATCACTCCCAAGTGTGTATGAGGCAGATCAAGTCCCACTCATTTGTAGCTTCTCAGGGAACCCTCTTAACTGAGACCTATGAACTAATACCTCTGAATTCCCAAACTACAAGTGTGAAACAGGGACAAGATAACAGCAGGATTCACTCTCATTCAAAACAGAGAGGAATGAGAGCATATAGCAGTTACTGGTCCACAACAACTCTGGAATTCAGTCACACATATATCTCCAGATCTCAAGAAATGGGGAATAGTCCTTAAGTAGGGCCCAGTTTGGCTCCCTGAGGATGGTACCTTCTCTCTGCTTTAAGTCATGTGTCAAGCCATCTGTCAATCTCTTTTTTATCAAAGATGTTTTATGTCTGTAATTAAGATTTCTCAGTCTGTTTAGTGCCCTTAGGTATTCTGTAAATTTTGGTGAGAACTCCTTGCTAATTTGAAATGAATATTTGTCACAGTTTGGGTTTCAGTTTGGTTAAATTCAAATTGTATTGTTCAAAATGTTTATATACTTACCAATTCTGCCTGTGAGTTTGTGTGTGTGTGTGTGTGTGTGTGTGTGTGTGTGTATTCCAGCTATTACTTACATGGTTTGTTAAAATCTCTAGCTGTAATTGTAAATTCTTCTATATTTTATTTTAGTTTTCTCAACCTATACAAATAGTTTGGTAATGTTACTAGGTACATATGTGGTAGTGTATGTTTTATGCTAGTTACATAAATATTACTTAGGTTTTGCTACACATATGTTACAAATATGTCACATGGTAATTAACTTTTAGGATGATTACATTTTCCTGTTAAATTGGATTATTTATAATTGTGAAGTAGCCCTCTTCATCTCTTCTAGTATTTCTATTCTTAAAGTATAGTTTTTATATGGCATCAGCAACTTTCTTTTGGTTGAAATTTGAGTAGAACACTATTTTTTATCCTTTTTCTAGGAAAGTTAAATGTTCCACAGCTTTAAAATATGTGTTTTTTTTTTTTGTGAACAGCAAATGCTTATTTTTGTCGATTTTGTTGAAGATCAGATGGTTGTAAGTGTATGGCATTATTTCTGAGTTCTCCATTCTGTTCTGGTGCAGGGATAATAGGCTAGCCATATACAGAAGACTGAAACTGGACCCATTCCTTAGAATCAACTGAAGATGGATTCAAGACTTAAGTGTAAAAGCTAAAACAACTCTAAAAACTCTGTAAGATAATCTAGTAAGCGCCATTCTGTACATAGGCCCTGGCAAAGATTTCGTGATGAAGATGCCAAAAGCAATTACAACAAAAAAAATTGACTAATGGGACCTAATTTAACTAAAGAGCTTCTGCACAGCAAAAGAAACTATCAATAAACAGACACCCTACAGAATGAAAGAAAATTTTTGTAAGAGATGCACCCAACAA
Organism: Homo sapiens; assembly: GCF_000001405.40. Classification (NCBI taxonomy): domain Eukaryota; kingdom Metazoa; phylum Chordata; class Mammalia; order Primates; family Hominidae; genus Homo; species Homo sapiens. Next base: position 65,922,042 of record NC_000006.12, read on the forward strand.
TGGCTAATATCTAGAATCTGGAACTTTAACATATCTACAAGCAAAAAACAAAAAACCCAATTATAAAGCAGGCAAAGGACATGAACAGACACTTCTCAGAAGAATATATACAGCCCTCCAACAAGCATATAAAAAGTGCTCAACATCACTAATAAAGAGAAATGCAAATCAAAACCACAGTGAGATACCATGCCACATCAGTCAGAATGGCTATCACTAAAAAGTCAAAAAATGACAAATGGTGACAAGGGTGCAGAGAAAAGGGAACACTTATATACTGCTGGTGAGAATGTAAATTTGTTCAACCACTGTGGAAAGCAGTTTGGTAATTCCTCAAAGATCTCAAAGCAGAATTGCCACTTGCTTTGACAATTCCATTATTGGATATATACCAAAAGGAATATAAATTATTCTGTCATAAAAACTTATGTGAATGTATGTTCATCACAGCATTATTCACAATAACAAAGACATGGAATTAACCTAAGTGCCCATCAATGGTGGACTGAATAAAGAGTGGTTCATATACACCCTGGAATAACATGGAGCCATAAAAATAATGAGATCATGCCCTTTGCAGTAACATGGATGGAACTGGAGGTCATTATCCTAAGTGAACTAACACAGGAACAGAAAACAAAATACTGCATGTTCTCACTTAGAAGTGGGAACTAAATACTGAGTACATATGAACACAAAGAAGGGAACAACAGAAAACGTGGCCTGCTTGAGAGTGGAGATTCAGAAGAGGGTGAGGATAGAAAAATTACCAACTTGGGTACTATGCTTATTACCTGGGTAACAATAAAATCTGTATGCCAAACCCCCGTGACACGCATTTTACCTATATAACAAACCTGCACATTTACCCTGGATCCTAAAATAGAATTTTTTTAATTTTATTTTTTATTTTATTTTATTTTATTTTTTTTGTGTGAGATGGAGTCTGGCTCTGTCGCCCAGGCTGGAGTGCAGTGGCGGGATCTCGGCTCACTGCAAGCTCTGCCTCCCGGGTTCACGCCATTCTCCTGCCTCAGCCTCCCCAGCAGCTGGGACTACAGGTGCACGCCGCCACGCCCGGCTAATTTTTGTATTTTTAGTAGAGCCGGGGTTTCACCGTGTTAGCCAAGATGGTCTCGATCTTCTGACCTTGTGATCCGCCCGCCTCGGCCTCCCAAAATGCTGGGATTACAGGCCTGAGCCACTGCGCCCGGCCTAAAATAGAATTTTAAAAAAGTTTGTCCCCTTTTTAAAAACTCTTAGCCATAGTTGTTTTAATATTTTTTCTAATAATTTTTATTACTTATAAATCTTTTTCTATTGACTTTTATATAATTCTAATTATTTGTTTCTATGTTCTGCTTCCTGGTAAACATGGCAAATTATTTTGTTGTTAAATGTATGAGTTTGTATAAGACAAATTGTAGTCACTCTGGATAAAGTAGTCTTCCATCACAGAGGATGTATTTATTATTTATTTATTTATTTATTTATTTTGGCAGAAGACTGCAAGATAATAAAAAAATACTTTGAGGCTATTAATAATTTTTCCTTTATTTCTAGGTCATCTCCAATTACCTCAGAGATATCCATTTGAAACCCTGAAGTGTTTACTGGGCTGCTTCCTACTTGCAGTCTTTGAACTCAAATTGTTTTCTTCTCTGTACTGTAAGAATGTTGAGATCTATACTTGTTATTTTTAGTTAGCAGGTGTATTCTGCTTGCTTTCTCTGCAGTTGGTCCATTTATGTTTAGCATATTATTTACTATATGCCCCAAGGAGAAATTCCTGCAGAATGTTGGGTTTACTTCTTAATGTCCTTTTGTTCTTTGGGATTCTTTTCTCCGAAATCATTTTTGCCTCTATAGACCCAAACTCCCTTATATTTCACTTCTAAATTCAGTGAAATGCATTAAATAATATATGCTTTTTTCTACTAAGTCCTTATTGCTCTTGTGTGAACCAGCAAATACTCTCTGGAAAAAAAGCTGCAGAGAAGTTTGGCTTGCATCAGTGAGCATTTATCTCCAAGATCTTTGTCCTTCAAATCTTGACTGCCTTAGAATACTATGTGGTGTTTTCAAAACTGTTTTGTATTTTTCCAACTCATAGATGGTATTTGTGGGGAGATTACTCTGAAACCAGTGATTGAGTTCATATACAGAGTACTGCATGGACAATACACCAGAGGGAAACAAACTTTCAATACATTTTTTATATATTAAAAAAAATGTATTTTCAAAAATTACAACCCAAAGCAAAAATACAGAAAAGTTTCTGTACTATATTTCAACATATTGTATTGCTATAATATATATATATTTCTTAATGCATATCTTTATTTTCTTGTGAGTGTTAATCTTGTCTGAACTTATGCTGTAAAACTAATTAAAAAGAGAGAAAAGAGAATATACCTAGGTAGTCCCAGATTCCAAGGAGCTTACAAACACTTTCCACAATTTCAATTCAGTAGCTGATTTATATTCTTCTAAATTGTTCTTTAATAAATGGTAACTACAGAGATAATTATGTCTCTGTAGTACATTCACACTCTTCCAAACAAACTTGGCAATAAGCCAACCATATTATTATTGAAAGGGTCTTTAACTAAATCTATAGAAAATTAATTCTATCCTCAAATAAACTTTCTGAGGTATCCATGACACTACGTGTGTGCGTGTGTGTGTGTGTGTGTATGTGTATGTGTGTGTGTGTGATTGGATGTAAATCATTTCTAATAGATGGAATTAGAAAGGTATGGATTTGCATTTCTATACATTTCTTCAATTTTTTTTGTCATTGAAATATGTCAAAAATGCATTAGATGAACAAAGGAATGGTAGAAGCTAATGGTGGGTATATAGATTTTAAACACGCCATTTTCTTGTCCCTGAACTCACAGAATATTTTGGATGCAGTACGGGAGGAAATTACTTCTTTTCTGATATTAGATGCAATAGTTATGGAAATTCTCTCCCAGGATAGCGTCTTTCTCATTCAGCACCAAATTACCATTATCGTAACAGCTGTGTCAGCTAGCCAGGGTTCTTCTTAAAGCAAATGGAAGTTATATAATCTTCCACTCACTGTCATGCAAGATAAAGTATAACCTCATAATAATTCTGGATTTTTACATTAAAAACAATTGCATAACAGTGTCCCATTTATGGGGAAGATTGTACTAAATATAACAAGAAGCAATAAGCTTTAAATTTTCAGGTTGTAATGAATGTGAACTAAAAACAATGACATCCCATTAGAAAATACATTTAAATAACATGGAAAGGCAACTCATGATAAATATTTTTAAAATATTGAAAATAATCTGTACATAAACATGGTGAGATAATTAAATTAAAATTAAAAATAAACTTACATAATTACATAAACCTGAATAACATATAACAGATAATTTGGGCTTACTATTGAGAATACTAGATGATAAGTTGGACAGATATCTTATATAATTATACTACCTTGCAAGAAATGTACCCATAGTCATCATCTCTCTTAATGTTCACAATAAAAAAGAAAGTTAGAGTAATATAATTTTCTAAATCTTAAATATACTCTATATCCAATTAAAAATCTAATACAATAGTTGGAAGAGAAAATTTTACATGCTGATGTTTATGTCTAATGAATGAAAAAGTCTGTTATTGATTTGCAAGATCTCTTAAATATTAAGTACTTTAACTTTCTGCTTTGTATATATGCTGCAAAAAGTTTTGATATCTGATGTAATTTCACTTTTTACATTCCTCGATAAGGGTTTTTACTATTTGTTTGTCTGCTTTTAAGGGAACAAATACCAAGTCTTTATCTTGCAGTATGGCAGAACAAATGCCCTGATCAACAACCTTGCTTAAAGTTTTGTAAATGTAAGGATGAGTTTGCAACAATACAAGAATTCATTAGATGACAAAAACGAAGTGAAAGTGAGAATCAAGAGAGGGAGAAGAGCTCTGCACTCACTACCACTCACGCTGAAAGACAAAGCTCAGTATCTCTCCTAAAAGTTCCAATAGAATGCTCCCAAAAAATGCTGGATCACAAAGGACTATCATTTTTAAGAATAAGCCAGGAATAAATTAATGTTTTCCAGAAGAGAGCAGAGAAAAACATCTGTCTAAAAACTTGATACTAAGTTTATAAGAATGGTATTTTCCTATAAGATCTACTTGTTCTATGAATTCATAGTAGATCAAATTGTATATGAGTACTTTGATGAAGATATATTCCCTACAATGCGTTCTGCCAATCTTTGATTATACAGATTTTATCTTGTTTTCTTAGAAACCCTCTCTCCACTTTGAAATATTTATATTTGCATTTTCCAGCATAATTTTGGTTTCTTTTTTACATTTAAGTTTTTTAATCCAGTAGGATACATACTTATGTTAGGCATGAGAAAGAGGTAGAGCTTTTTTTTTTCCACAATTAATTTTTTTCCTAGATCATTTTTCCTTCAGATGACATTAAAATTATGTCTAATGGATTTTATCTATTTTTTATTAATTTTATTCCTAGGTATGTTTTCTACTTATGGCTAATATTTTATTTTATATTTTTAAGCTAGATGTTAGGGGTTTAGAGGAAAACATCTCGTTTTGATTTTGTAACCTGACATGATAAAGTACGCTACTTTTACTTCTGATGTAGCTTTTTACATTTTTTTGGTTTCCTTATTTGTTTTTTGGGAGGGTACAATGAAAGACTCTGTGTATACTTATTTATTTATTATTTTGATACGCAGTTTTGCTCTTGTTGCCCAGGCTGGAGTGCATGGCGCAATCCAGGCTCACTGCAAAATCCGCCTACCGGATTCAAGCGACTTGTCTTGCCTCAGCCTCCTGAGTAGCTGGTATTACAGGCATGCCCTATGTTGCCCGGCTAATTTTGTCTTTTTAGTAGAGATTGGGTTTCACCATGTTGGTCAGGCTGGTCTCTAACTCCTGACCTCGTGATCCGCCTGTCTCAGCCTCCCAAAGTGCTGGGATTACAGGCGTAAGCCACCGCACCCGGCCGTGTACTTTTTAAAAAAAATTTTAATGCTAGAGGCATCGTATTACTCCATTCTCAGACTGCTATAAAGATACAACCCAAGACTGGGTAATTTATAAAGGAAAAAGATTTAACTGACTCACAGTTCCGCATGGCTGGGGAGGCCTCGGGAAACTTAAATCATGGTGGAAGGGGAAGCAGGCCCCTTCTTCTCAAGGCAGTAGGAGAGCGTGTGTTTGTGTGTGTGCGTGGGCGCGCGTGTGCGTGCGTGTGTGTGTGTGAAGGAGGAACCGTCAAATAGTTATAAAACCATCAGATCTCGTGAGAACTCACTCACTATCGCAAGAACAGCATGGTGGAAACCGCCCCCATGATTCAGTCACTTCCTACCAGGTTTCTTCCTCCATACCTGGGGATTACAATTCAAAATGAAATTTGAGTGGGTACTGGTCATGAAACAGAGGGAGATAAAACTAACAGATCATATTCTAAATGTATTATAAAATGATTTGAATAAAATAACTTACATAGGCTATAGGCATATAATACTAGACTGTAATTTGAAATCTGTTTTGTGGTGGTGGATGCAGACTAGAAACAATGTTAATTTTTTAATTTTTTTTTTTTTTTTTTTTTTTGAGGCAGAGTCTCGCAATGTCACCTAGCCTGCAGGTGCAGCATAGCTTATTGTAGCCTCAATCTTCTGGACTCAGGCGATTGATCCTCCTGCCTCAGCCTTCCATGTGGCTGGGACCACAGTAATGCACTACTAGGCCCAGCCAATTTTTTTATTTTTTTGTAGAGATGGTGTCCGACTTTATTTCCCAGGCCAGTCTCAAACTCCAGGGCTCAAGCTATTATCCCACCTTGGCTTCCCACAGTGTTGGCACTACAAGTGTGAGCCACTGACTGGGACAAATGTTAAATTTCAAGAAAGAAAGAATACAACGATGAGAAAAGACTTAATTCAGGTCAGGTTCAGAAGGTATTTTCTTACTTCAAATAACAGGCTCAGGGTAAATTCTCCCAGTCACTGTGGTACTTAGCACACTCCTGTATAAACATCTTTTCTTGTGTAGGTGATTTCCTTTGAGTTCAGGAGATGACAAGCTATATCCTTTTGTACTGTAAAGGGAACAATATAGTTGAAAAAATAATTATATCAGTATTAAATATTCGTGTTAAAAACAAAAATATTTGTTAAGAATTATAATATTATTTAACATATTTTATTATCAACAATAGTGCACTCTAAAATGGCATTAAAATAGCCACCAGCAACATATCTTGACCTTATTTATATTAATGGTCTTTCTTTCAGTAAAATTATACCTATTGCAATGAGAAATGATTTCTTGGCATTCTTGTAATAACTTATATGTATCACAGCTTAAAATATCAGCAGTTACATACTTTCCTATTAATAACAGCATGCCTAATTTATTCTGAAATGAGTGACATTGGTAATTGACACAAATAAAAGTTGTTTCTTTTTTAAATGTCCCTGGCTGTTTGCTTGCCGGGAAGTTTAGAAGAACACCATCATCTGTTACTCTTATAAATATATGAAAACAACAAGAACACATCTGATGTTGAAGGAAAAAATTGCATTTTCAATCAGTGTCTTGTGAAACGAATTAGAAGTTCTGTCAGATAATGTAAATCAATGAAAGCTATATGTAATATCCTGTTTATAGCACCTGCTTCTCTGCGAGTTTGCCTTTTTTACATTTGCAGGAAATTGGAAGAAAATAAATAACAATTTGAAGAAAAAATAACTTGTTTAATTTTTCGTTTTAATATCCCCAAAATAAAATTTTAAAATAACAAAAAATAAGCAATGTTATTAGCTTAGGTGGCATAATTTAGGCTCAACCTATGTAGTTTATTTTTGTAACCCAATGTTTTTCAAATTGTCTGGCACAGAATTGATGTTCAATAGCTGTCTTTAAATTGATAGTGAACTGAGATTAAGGAAAAAATAGACATGATCTATTAAAATATAGTGAAAATCTATGACTAGATTGCTATGATTAATGGACAAGCAGTGGAGTTATTATGAAACTGAAATTAGTGAAACCTGAGAAATGAACAAGTTTATCTGTTTGGTCTTGCATCTATAATGTTACTTAATTCACTGCTCACTTAGGGTGATTTGTGAAAAATACATACAATAAAATGGAAATAAATATTAAGGTATTACAACCATGGAGGATATGAATAAAAATGGAAGATACACATTTGAAGAGATAACATCATTTCCAATACGTTTATTTCAATTAAAACAATAAAATTCACTTTTTTGCTTTTATATATCACAGAAAATTTTTCCACAATTAAAGGACTGATGAACAAATGTAGATATTTTATGTACCTTATTGACTTCCCTAATCACTAATCATTTTTATGTATAACTAGATGTGTTTAAATTTCATTTTGTAATATGGTACCCATAAAAACAGAGGTTTCATATTCAATCTGAAACTATTAACTAAATCCAAAGAAATTTAATGGCAAAACTACAGTTGTTTTTTAATCAAGTTTTCTAAGAAACGGTAAAAACTGTCTTCCAAAATGGCTATGCTATTTTTCATTCCCTTCAGCAATGAATGAGAGCTCCTGTTGCTCCACATCCTTCTCCAGCATTTACTATTTTCAGTGTTTTGGATTTTGCTGATTCTAATAACTGTTGTTTTAATTTACAAATCCTTAATGATATATGATGTAGAGCATGTTTTCATGTGCTTATTTGCCACATACCATTTTTGGTAAGGTTTTCATTTATGTCTTTTGCCCATTTTTTATTCAACTTGTTCATTTTCTTATTGTTGAGTGTAATTGGTTTGATCTTTTTCTTATTATTTATTTTCCTATAGTTGAGTTTTAAAGGTTAAAAATGTCAGTTATTTCCAAAATGAGCTATAGTTTCAATGAAATCTCAATTAAAACCCAGCAAATTATTTAATGTACATTGACAAACGGATTCAAAATTTATATGGGAAGGAAAAAAATACAGAGTAGCCAACATAATATTAAAAGAGAGGAATAAAGTCACAGTGTTACATGATCCTTGGGGTATAGTTTTTCTGGCCAGAAAGGTGCCTCTGAAGCCAGGGGCGCCTTTGGCTGCATTTTGCCTTGGATCTGCAAGGCTTGTTTTGCCCACTCAGCTTATCAAGCTATGCTCAGCTCACCCTAGAGGCCTCAGTCTCACACCTGCCAAGGGAGAGTCAAGTATGGAACAAAGAGGGGTGTGTGAGTGAATCCGACATGCCAGCTGCTGCAGGCTGGTGGGCAGCTACAGGTGCCAACATAGGCGCCAGCTCTCTGCGAAGCTGCAGACGGACCAGGCACACTGGAAGCAGCTTCCATGGCTGGCACAGGGGAACATAGTGGCACACAGAAGCTTGGAGATGCAAGGGACTACAAGGCCCCAAAGTGGGAGTCACAGCCCTGACCTTGGGAGTTTCTAGGTCTGTGCTCCCTGAAGGGCCTCAGCTCTTCTCCCCTTCTCCTTGCCTGAAACATGGCAAGCAAGGGACATGTTTCTGCCCTGTTTGTGTTACAGCTCTTTTAGCTCTGCCATTCGACAGGTCCCAAATTCTTGTCCTGTGATCAGGAGGAATGAGGTATGCACAGAAGTGAAGGGTGAGCAAGACAAAGAGATTTATTGAGAGATAGAACAGCTCAGTCTCCTGAAGGAGGCAGCTCCTTTCAGCAGCCAGGGTATCCCTATGATGAGTGTTCAGCTCCTAGGCATGAGGAAATCCTGGAGTGGGAGGCTCCTCTCTGCAGGCAGGTTGTCCCTGTTGTCTCTGCAGCTCTCAGCAGAGAGGAGGCCCTGGAGTGGGTAGCTCCTCTCTGCAGCTGGTCATCCCAATATCTACCCAGCTCTGGCTGAGCGTGGGGCTTTTATGAGCCTCAGAGGGGAGGAAGTGCACACCAATTGGTCCATGGGCAGCCATAGGCAAGCCCAGAAAAGGCACCACAAGTTCACACTCAGGTCCATGGGAGTAGCAGCCCACACACCAGCCTTAAGGCCCTCTCTGGCCTGAAGTTGAGGCCTCGCCAGGGACCTGCTCCCTTCTCCCCAGGAACTTGTCTGCTTCCTGCTTCCTTTCATGGAGCCCAGTCTGTAGGTGCCAAGGGGAACCTGCAGCCCAGTGCTGAACTTCCCTTAGTACCCCCTTGGTTTCCCTCCTATGCTCATTGGTACCCAAAATCTAGAGGGGACTGAGGTGGGAGGGGGCTGGTGTGTCAGCACTGCGCCACGTGTGTGTGTGTCTCAGCAGGATGTAACAGCGCCTGGGCTTGGCCCTGACTTTGCTCTAAAATTGGAGTGGGCACTGACAGCAGGGAGAAACCAGGCCATAGGAACAGACACTTCTGAGCCTGTGGAGGCAGAGGGGCCTTCCTGGGCACCCAAGACTGCAGGGATGATTTGGGTGGCTATAGCTACACCCAGGAGGGTGCCCCCCCCATTCTGTGGAGAGGGAGGCCTGGGTCTGCAGCTGTGGTTTGGGCAGCTGCACCTGTGTCAGGGAGGGTGGGGCTCCACCTGCCCCTGGACCCCCAAGGGCACAGAGATGCCTTGGTCCACAGCCTGGCTTGGGCAGCTGCAGTGGCACCTGAGGAGCTCCCACTCCAAATCAGAAGAGGTGAAGCTTCCACTTGTCCCTGGCTCCCGCTGACTCCATGGAGCATGCAGCCCCAGCCATGCCTCCTTGTTGAAGCTGGCATGATGGCAGTAGGCTGTTCCAGGCAGCCTGCTGCTGCCATCAAAAGGATTCATTACCCTACTTTAAGACTTACTATAGAGCTGCAGTAATCAAGAGATGTGGTATTGTCAAAAAAATATGCAGGCCATTGAAACAGAATAGACAGCCCAAGAATGCATCCACAAAAATATTTAGCTAATCTTTGACAAAGAAGCAAGGAAAACAGACAATGAAGCAAAGATTGTTCTTTCAAAAAATGCTACTGGAACAACAGGGCATCCACATGAAAAACAAAAATGCATACACAGACCTTACATCCTTCACAAAGATTAATTCAAAATAAGTTATTAGACCTAAAGATAAAATGCAGAACTATAAATCTCCTAAAGGATAACAGAGAAGAAAGCAGATATGACTTTTTAGATACAACACTATTGCATGATCTATGAAAGAAAGAACTGATGTGTAAACATTAATATTAAAAACTTCTGCTCTGTGAAAGAAAGGCACTGTCAAGGGAATGAGAAGATAAACTACAGACTGGGAGAAAATATTTGGAAAAGACATACCTAATAAAGGACTGTTATCCAAAATGTACAAACAATTTTAATATTTTAAATATATTTTTAAAATACATTTTCAACTCCTTCTCCTTATTTATGCAATTATTTTCTATGTTTGTATTTTCGGAGGTTTGATTAGACATATAATAGCCAAACATTATGGTGTAAAACTATGGTACTGTGATCCATTCCATTAAACAATATTTTAAAAAATAGTAGACAAATTTCAAAACATTAAATAGTTGTATACTGATCCTATTTATACATGATTTATGTACAAGCATGTATAATCACATATTTTACATTTATAAAATATTTTCTACATTCATATTTCAAAGTATGTTACATGTATGATGATACATAGAAATATAAAATATAATTTAGAATACATAAATAGAAAACATAAAAACATCTATATTATATACACAATATACTTTTTAAATAATTTACCATGGAACACATAAAGGAATATGTCATAAGTATAAGAACACTATAAATCATACAAATATAAAAAATATAAATGTTATAAAAAATTAAATGTATTATGTAAAATAAATATATAACATCAGTTAATATAGTATATTGTATCAAATAATAATTTAACAATAAAATATAATATCATATCATTATATAAAATATCTAACAAAGATTTCATGGTGGAATAACATAGCCCAAAACTAGTAGATATATAGGATCTGACATTGAGTTTCTGTTGGGGTAATAAAGGGGGATGTTATTCATTCTTGCTGGGTTATTTCTCTCTGTCTGCCCTAGAAACATTCTCTTTATTTTTCCAGAGATTACTTAAAAAATATTTCTCTTTGTTGACATTTCTAGCACCCAAACCACTGTTAAAGTATTCTTTCTATGTAGCATCATAGTAATTGCACAAAATAGTAAATGTCACTTTAGCCTTTAACATTTTAATATTATAGTAGTAAAATCATCTGTGAATTTCCCTAATAAACTAGACCTCATTGAACATAAGATTAAGGGCTTCCTCCCTTTTATAGCCCCAACAATAGGACAGTGCTTGGCTTTTAAAAAGTGCTGAGTAAAATTTTCTTAAGGAATTAATATAATAATGTTTGTGTATAGTAGCTGTAAATAATGGATTACTGGGTAGCCTGTCTAGTCATTCCATTATACATTTTTTCTATCTATAACCCAGTACCATTCACTCCTTAGTACTCTTTCTCTCCTATTTAAAGCACATAATGTTAGCTTAATAAATAATTATTAACTAAGATTCTTGACTTTACATCACAATGTAGAATATGTTTGCTCTATGAGCACAATAGTCCATTAGAGTAAGTTCTTATCCATAGATGATGTCAGGATGCAGTCTCTTCCCCGAGGGTGGGAAAGCTTGGAGAAAAGTTATTTGGTTGCAGAAAACTAAGAATAATATTTGTAAAAAGAAGAGAGAGGAAATTAAAAAACAGAAATGTGAAAAAATAAAGTTAAGTTGTAATGATACAATTATTCAGGTCACGAAGCGCCTCTACTTTAAAAAGAAAACTTGCGTATCACAGTTAGAAAGCATAAATTTCAACCAAGTAATAAAAGAAGCTAAGACCAATTTCTTATATGGCACAAATTGCCCAATATTTATCCCACATTTTACGGTAGATATGGTTTCAGCAGGGTGCCATAAGTACTTGAATTAACATTAAAAAGCCAATGTGGTTTTTAAATTATTGATGTGCATGTTCATGGTGTTTTCTTGCTCAAATTTAATAGCTCTCCCTTCAGCTCCATATCAAAAGATTACATCTTTTACTACACCTTAGACTCATCCTCACCCAAACATCTTTATTACAACATATTAAACTTTCATGTTCCAAGTGAAGATTCTTGTTCTCTGAATCTCTCATTCCCTTCTTACCATTGTTTCTTGATTCATGGGGGCCTAGAATTATTTTTACCCTCTCTCTTCTATTAGTCTCTTAGCTCCATATTATTTTCCAACAAGACATAAGAACTTATTACTTCAACTCTCTTGACAAAATTTTCAACACTCTTGCTTTTCAGATAACCTGTCAAGCAAAGGCATAACCCTGAATTCCTCCTCTAATATACCCAAGTTATTCATCAGGCAGTATAAAACCACCTTTTTTACACCTAATTTGTGGCAATGCAAATTCATCCTCTTCTACATTTCCTAGGTGCTACAGATATTTCTTAATTGGGAAGTTGTGTTAGCTTCTTTACCCATTCCCCACTTCAGCACATTTGGAGATGTGCACTTTTCTTAAATCTGCTCTGGTATCTGCTGCCTCTCACTCTCAGATTTTCTAGTAGGATACATTGTGAGATTACTAACATTTAAAAAATATATATTTAAAGTAAGAAAAACCGGGAATAAAATCTTCAAGTATCCCTTAGGTCTGTTTTGTACATTTGTTGTGAATATTGCCAGTATTTACTGCACTTAACATTTTGCTTCATTTTGATAAAGAAACAATAATAAATTTGGACAATGGTAATGAAGGATACACTTCAAAAAATTTAACACTTCACAATATTTTATGTGAATTATGAGAAATGGACTATGGCATTTTTATAATGACCAATCATGTGTTGACCTAATTTTATTCAAAGTATGTAATTTTTTTCTTTTTTGTGACGCTTACACTAAAGTGATCTTTTTTTTTTTTTTTTTTTTTTTTTTTTTTTTTTTAACAGAATCTCGCTCTGTTGCCCAGGCTAGAGTGCAGTGGTGCAATCTTGGCTCACTGCAACCTCTGCCTCCCAGGTTCCAGCAATTCTCCTGCCTCAACCTCCCAAGTAGCTGGGACCACAGGCGTGCGCCACCACACCCAGCTAATTTTTGTTATTTTTTTAGTAGAGACAGGGTTTCACTATATTGGCCAGGCTGGTCTCGAACTCTTGACCTCATGATCCACCCGCCTCAGCCTCCCAAACTACTGGGATTACAGGCATGAGCCACCATGCCCAACCCAAAGTTACCTCATTTTTTTGAGAAATTGAATGTGACTATTTTATGTCTGTAGAGGACTCAAACTATGTGACACTTAAATACATTTGCTATTTAAAATACGTATTGACTTGATTCTAAAATCACAGAACTTCATAAGGCTCTAAAAAACATGCAATAGCTTAACTTTCAAAATATGTACAGCAGCTTCGTAACAAAAAGGGAAAGAAATTCATAGATGAGGAATTAAGTTTGAATGTTGATTTTCTTATGAAATACTGAAACCTTCCTAGCCAGAAATGCTGTTGTTTTGCAAATGCTGACAGTTAATAGAAATTCATGGGTATGGTTTTGATGTGTAAGCATTTTGAAACTGTAGTACAACCACTGTGATTCATTGTGCTGTATATAAAACATTTTGATTTTTCAATCTCATAGGGAAGTAAAAAGATTTATAAAGGCCTATAAAATGTTTTGACTGTTCTACAGGCACAAAGCAGTATTATTCAACTTCACCAGAAATAGTACAGAGTGGACATTGAATTGAAACTGAAATTTTGAAGAAATCATATTCCCTGGTTGCTTCCTTTGTTTAGGAAAATTGTTTAACATGTTTTGTGCTTACCTTTCTGATCAATAAAATAAGAATAGAACAATGCTATCTGGAGCTTCTTGACTATCTTATAGAAGTGTTATGTAAAATATCGAAGCTTCTTTGAGCTTTAGGAAATTCAAAGATTTGTTTTCTGTCCCTAATGCAAAATATTTGAAAATCTAGTGAGCTGAAAATATTCAAAATCCAATAATACACTCAATGCACAAACAACAACATTTGTTTTCTTTTAATATCCTCTAAATTGCTCCCGTTTGTTACACAGAGGGTTGTGAGACTTTCTTAAACATTTGCAATCTCAGATAGTAAAATTACCAAAAGACCTGTGAAAATTACCACATTATCTGTGGAAAAAGAAAGTTTTTTATTTTAGCTATAAGATTCTACTTTTTCTTTTCCTGATTTGTTAGTGGAACTGGATTATCAGAATTCAAAGCATCGTAAGTGCCACAAGGATGACCATAACAGGAAATTATTCTGATATTAATCCTGAAGTGAAAAGACAAAGTGATTGAGAAAAGAGAGGAAAGAGAGCAAGCTAGTTACTGCTGTATAACAAATCATCCCCAAAGTCAATGGCTTAAAACAGCAATCATCCTTCTCACAGGTCTGCAGATCAGTAGGCATGAGCAGATACGGGCTGTGTTTGGCTAGGCTCTGCTGGTCTTGGCTGCAACATGTAGCTGAGAAAGAAGTCTACATTATGTGTCTTTATGTTTATTTGTTCAGTGAGCCAGCTGGGACATATTCCTGTTATGACAACAATAGGGCATAAGTTAGCAAGTTGACACATAACAATGTTTTCTAAGGCCTAGCTTCAAAACTGGTAAGCTCTTAACTTCTGCCCACAAAGGTCAAATTAAGCATTATGACTGAAGGCAAAGTCAAGTAATATCTATGGAAAAGCACAAGAATTCTTGTATGGCAAATTTGTAGCTAGATACAAGAATTTTGGATGGAAGATAAAGAGGCAACATTAATAATTCAGTTTTTCACAGGCTTGCTCCAAACATGAGAACGAGAGCAATACCAAACACATTATCATTTATTATTATTTGAGATGGAGTCTTGCTCTGTCACCCAGGCTGGAGTGCAGTGGTGTGATCTTGACTCCCTGAAACATCTGCCTCCCAGGTTCAAGTGATTCTCCAGCCTCAGCCTCCCAAGTGGCTCAGATTATAGCTCAGCCTTCCGAGTAGCTGGGACTATAGGCATGCCCCACCACTCCTGGCTAATTTTTGTATTTTTAATAGAGACAGGGTTTTGCTATGTTGTCCAGGCTGGTCTCAAACTCCTGTCTTCAGGTGATCAGCCTCCCTTGACCTCCTGAGGTGCTGGGATTACAGGCATGAGCCATGGTACCTGGACAAAACACGTGATTATTATTACTATTGCTCTAACTATTATAATTGTTGATTATTATTTCCTTTACTGATAAACAAGTGGCACATACATAATAGTGGCACATACATAATACTGGAAGACTAACATAAAATTTAGATACTAAATTTTGTTCCCTACTCTGATTATCACATCAAAGATTCTTTCAAAAAGAAAAAAATAACACATTTAATTGAACAATACTTGAGAGGTGTCAAGGTTGACCTTTATCCTAGATTTTGACCACACCATGCATGTATGCCTTTCTTCCAAGGACCCCTAAATCAGGCCTAGGGGAAATCCTAGCTGCTGCTCCCTGCAAAATGTCCCTTTCCAGGAAGACATGGCCAGGAAGATCAACACAAAATCTCCCTAACAGCAGTTAGGGTCTCCACTCCTGAGGGTGGACTAAAAGGAGTTAGTTAGCTTGCCTTAGGTAGACAGCAAGGAAATGGTCTCCAGGGAGCCCCCGGCCCATGGATCAGTGCTTCATCCCCACATAAAATAAAAAACAGCCTGGGAAAAAATTCAAGCTTCAGGCACTGATAAGGGAACTATCATAGCTTGTTCTTCCTCGAGACATGCCTTTGGCTGTACAGATAGAAAAAACTCCGGCCCATTTGGATAAAAACTTGCACAAAGGTCCAGCTCACTCAGATAAGGAGACAAGGCCTAGCATAGACATGCCTTTGTTCTTTGTATAGTGACAGGTTCCCCCAAAAAAGTTTTTTCTCTTTTTGTGGGCATGGGCATGGTAGGCTCTGGTGGGTTCTGGCAGGCACTCTACTTTCCTTTATTTGGAATGTAAGTCCGGCTTCTATGAATCATCCTTTCAGCCCCGATTGGTCCTGGGTCAAGGTCCCATGCCAAGCTTTTACTTAAGTTTCTGATAGGTCCTGGGCCAAGTTAAGGAGCATCTGTGAATCATCATTTCAGCTCCTGATTGGTCCCAGGCCAAGCTTTCTGATTGGTCCTGGGCCAGAATCCTGGGCCAAGCTGAGTCACACATTCTTCAAGACAGCCTTCAGACTAAGCACATTCCTTCCCCTTCACAGTTCATAAAAACCCTGGACCCCAGCCTCATAGGGGACACCTTGCTTGGGCCCCATTTTCTGCTGGCAGAGAGCTTTCTTTGTCATTTATCAAACTTTTGCTCTAACCTCACCTTTGTGTCTCCACTCCCTAATTTTCTTGGAGGTAGGACAAAGAACTCTGGGCATCATCTCAGACAAGAGACTGTTACATCTTGGTGGATTGCTGAGACTACAACATTAGGGCTTGAATGATCTTTGGTAAATAAGAATATTTTTTGGTTTGATTAAAAACAGGCATGTCTTCAAAGTTTTCAGTATTAGGTATAATACTGATGTATCCTTCTTTCTACTATAGTTTAATGATAAAATAAGCCTACATTATATTTTTACTACAAAATTTGTCAACAGGAAAAACAAAATGATGTCCAGTGGTTAAACATCTTTTCTTTATAAGTAATCAAGGCATAATTGTTAAAAATAAGTGAGTTAGGCCGGGCGCGGTGGCTCATGCCTGTAATCCCAGCACTTTGGGAGGACGAGGCGGGTGGATCATGAGGTCAGGAGATCGAGACCATCCTGGCTAACAAGGTGAAACCCCGTCTCTACTAAAAATACAAAAAATTAGCCGGGCGCGGTGGCGGGCGCCTGTAGTCCCAGCTACTGGGGAGGCTGAGGCAGGAGAATGGCGTGAACCCGGGAAGCGGAGCTTGCAGTGAGCCGAGATTGTGCCACTGCAGTCCGCAGTCCGGCCTGGGCGACAGAGCGAGACTCCGTCTCAAAAAAAAAAAAAAAAAAAAAAAAAAAATAAGTGAGTTAGACACTAGTAACATAAAATTTCCGTGAAAAATATGTACTTTCTATACCAGAAAATTTTAACATATTTATAATCAATAATGAAAAATTGAGGTTGAGGAAAATATGTACAAACAAGAATTTAATTATTAGCTCTAGCCAAAGAACAAACAGACAAACACAAGAAGGTAGTGATACAATTTTGCCTCTTTTATAGTTTCTTATTACAGTGAGACTAAAGATATTAGAGACTGTTCATAAACATGTTCTATGCCACATTGCCAAATTGTACTATGGGAGAGTACATGCTTCTTACAAGTGCAAGATATATATATATATATGAATCTACAGATTATGGATGTAACAGAGAGTTCACGGTTTCTGCCAAGTGTTCACTGAAAATGAAAGTCATTAAGTTTAAGAATTTTAAGAAATATATGTAACTAAAATTACTAGAAATAATAAGGACAACGTCTATATGAAACTATACAAGAAAGATAAGATGTTCTTTGGTAAAGAAAAGCTGTAAAGTATGAGGATATTTTGTTTTGTTTAAAGAAAAAGAAATTTCTGTCCTAAAGCAGAATAAATGTTTTTTTCCTAAAATGAGAAGAGAAAAAATATAAGGCAAAACTGAATTGATTAGAAAGTTGTAGGCTTGTGGAAGAGAAATTTCATGAAAGAAATTTTATGTGTGTAAGATGGCTAACATCTAACATTAGAAAACAATTGTTTTTTTCTAAAAAGTAAGCCTTATTAATAAAAGTACACTGATGTGAAAGTAGAATTTGGTTCTCTCCATTCAAACAATAAGGCTTTTATAAAGTATTGGTCTGCTTTTAGTAGGAAAATGTGAAAGGTCTTTATTTAACTTTTGGGTAATTGGTCTAGGAAACAAAGATGCTCTGTTTTATTAAGTTAATTTTCTAGGCTTCGTGTTGTCTTCGTTGGGTTTTAATCTATTTTAAAAACCTGAGTGCTGTCTATGAAACAGTTAAGGTTTTCTACAACTATGTAACTTTCTGTATTTGCCTTTGAAGTCTTTTAATTATGAATTTGGTTAAATAAGTAACTATTGTTCACAGTGACCTGTGATCCTATTTTGATAAAATGTTTTAAACCTTTGATATTTTTGACAAGCTTCCCAAATCAAATTCTAAGTTAAATCTTTTTCTTTACCTCAAATTAGCTTTGTAATTTTCCTGATGGGTCTTTGGAACATTTCAAAAGGATATCTCATTATATAGAAAGAGAGATTTATATATTTAATTATATAAAAATTATTGCAAATTCATAATTTTAAACCTTCTTTAAGTTATATTTTATGGACATGTTATTAATGTGTGTTTTACACATTGTATGAAATTCATAGGAATCTAGCACTCCTTGTATAATGATATTAGTCATAATTCTAGTTACTATCTTAAAATATTGTATACAAGAGAAATAACTGAAATTCCTTGTCAATTGTATTATCACATCTTTAACCACGGCCATTTTAAGTCTTATTAACAGTTAATTCTTTACTCTGGTACTTTCCAGAGCAACAATAAACAACATATTTTGTCTTCACGAAGATTCTCGGAAAGGACTCACAAACACAAGTTTCTGATAACTTTAAGATTACACCATTGGACCGGGTAAGAATTCTCAGAACTGTAATGACGAAACTAATTAGTTAATAAAACTGCTAACACAACATGAAACAGAACATTAATTAAATATGAAGAAAATGATTGACTGATTTTCATGTTAAGTCAGCCAGTAGAGAAATTGTTAAGGTATGCAATAGAAGGAAAGCCATAAGATTTATCCAAGTCAAATTACCTATAACATTTTTAATAAACAATATTATGCACCTGAATTGGAGAAACAAAATTTCTATTTAAGAGGATGTAAATCCAATGTTAGCTGTGGGCTAATGGAGGACCTAGGACAGCCACCTTATCCTTCGTAAGTTGATATAATAGTCCAAAAGTTAAAGAAATGTTGAAATTATTATTAAATAATTAAATGATTATTAGAATTTTGGCATGCATTTTAATTTCTTAAAAAATTGCAGTACCTTATTTTTCCTCACCACATTAACTGCTGAGAATAAGTTTGATTGATAATGCAAGTTTGAAGTTATATCTTGCAGGTAATTTTAGCAGAGACACAGATAAATAGCTTTTAAAAATTCAATACATTATAAGTAGTACAAAATGTGGTGGCTTTTTTTCCCCTATGTTATATGCTTCTTACCATGGAATAGTATTACTTTTATTTAAGATTCCAAGTTTTTCAGGAGTAACAATTCTGTTTTCAAAAATAATGTCTTATGGATAGCCAAGATAATTGTGATACTTACCTTTCTTTGGCAATTAGCTTATATCATAATATTCAGGTGGAAACAGATGGTAGAGAAGATAGGTTCTATTGGTGTTTTAGTTTAGAAAAATCTAAGAATTTGTAGAATTGAATAGGTGCTGAAATCATAATTCAATTGACACAGTTATTGAACTCAGTCATCCCTATGCTAGAATCTGTGCTTTTAACAACTAAAGTATTGCTCCATGTTAGTCAACAATGCTATCAAGGCTCCAAGCTTCCATGATCCTTGGGTGGGATCATCCTTAACATGTGGCTTTTGTCTTCTTGGCAGTGGGACAAATAATTCGTGCCTTAGCATAAGGCATTCCAGGCAAGGAGTAAAAAACATGTTTCATATTTGTGTTATGGTTATGTGTTTCCAGTCTCCAATTTCCTCAAGGGGCCCTATGTCTGTATACGGGGCTCTGTTCTCTCTTCATAGCTAAATTCAGATCTCTGTTCACTAGATCTGCAGAATTTTCAGTTTGCAAGTTAAGTTTTGACTTGAAGCGCTGACCGTCTCTTTTGGTCTGAGCAACCCCAAGATAAATTAATCACCATTAGGGATTCCTTTAGGCCACAGCATTTTGATCACCACTCCCATTTGTCTCTTTTAAGGCAGTCATGCTTACTTCATCATTTACTTCTATCATTTACATTGAAAAGATAATAATTTCTACTGCAGCAACAGCAGCCCTGGTCATCTTTGCCCTATAAATAATAAAAATTAGCACTTTCTATAACACTCATACTTCACTTATTAATCCTTTCTAACACCTAGAGAAATGACTATATTTTGGGCTCTCTTGATTCAGTTAGAGGTAAGCGGGCACATATGATATACCTGCTCCCAAATTATTTTCTTTATAATTCTTAAGATTTGTTATTTTGTATCACCTGAGAAACTTTTGCAAAATAAAAATTTTGGAGCTTTTCTTCACAATTTAAGTAGAATTTCTGGAGGTGGAAATTTGGGAATCAGTATGTTTTAAATAGCACTTCAGGTGACTCTTACGTGCACCTAACCTTATTGAGCATGTAACACTGTAGTACCCACTGCACCTAATTCACAGGATAAATAACCACATCTATTTTATAGCTGCTAGAACTAGTACGCTTTTTCAGATATACCTATTGAGTTCAGATTAAGTATTAGCTACTCTTTTAGGGTTGTAGGGTGTATCACTGAGTAACAACATCAACAAAACTTGTATAAGCAATCCATAATTTCTGGTAAATGTAGGTTTTAAAAAATAGAGCTCCTCTAAAATATATTTTGATTTTCTTGTTTTAGCATCCTCAAAACCCATTTCCACAATTCTTTCCAGGTTTCATCTATTATAAATGAGCAACCTCTTCCAGCTCATGAGTTAGAAATTCCTAGGATACGCTAGCATCTTATTCTAGTTTTATATTTGGAAACTGTTATGGTGCGTGGAGGTGATAGGAACTGACAATGGCTTGCAAGAAACCTGACTCTGGTTACCTAAAGACTACCTTCTTATCACAGAAGAAAATGTGAACATTCCCTCATGACTTTTCATCAGTTAGCAAGAGTTCTATCTATTAATAATACCAAAGATTTTATGTCCATCTTCCTCAACAAGGCCACATAACCAATTTCAGAATTGCTTAGTTTCTGTGAAGCTTTTTAGTTGGCAGCGTTTCCTAGAACACATTTTTGTTTTGATCAGGGTTTTTAGTTATAAGCAAAAGAAGCCGATCCTATGTAAAGAACATTGGGCAATTCACTGACAGTTTTAGAGACTAGAGAAGCAACTTCAAGACTAAGCTGCCAAAAAAATGGCTGTAAATGTAATTCTATAGAACGGGCCTGAGGAGCCAAAAATGACACAGTTGATTCTGCTGTCAGGACTTGGATTTATTCCAATCACTGCTTCTTTTAACAAAAATTCCTCCTCTGTTTCTGAAACTCAACTTTGTAACTATTAATATCCCCCACATTTGAACATCCTCTGCCACAAACACCAGCAAAGTGAAATCTACAGGGAGTCCTTTTCATCAAATCACATTCTTCTGAATTTAGGACTACACAAGTGATTATGATTGAAGTTGCCTAGCTCAGATGAACTTAAATTAGCTTTAGCTGTAGCTAGAAAAGATCCTCTATATTCTTTGGCTTCTCTTCTCCAGGGAACAGAAATTTATAAGCAGGGAAAATTTACAAACATAGCAAGGATGTTCAACAATCGTGGGTGCAAAATGCAGTCCCTCTATGACCTTGCAGACTTGGCTTGGTGGTAACTTTTCTGCGG